>NC_000014.9:17699083-17857230 GCF_000001405.40 Homo sapiens
ACTGTAAGTGGATATTTGGATAGCTCTAATGATTTCGTTGGAAACGGGAATATCATCATCTAAAATCTAGACAGAAGCACTATTAGAAACTACTTGGTGATACCTGCATTCAAGTCACAGAGTTGAACATTCCCTTACTTCGACCACGTTTGAAACACTCTTTTGGAAGAATCTGGAAGTGGACATTTGGAGCGCTTTGATGCCTTTGGTGAAAAGGAAACGTCTTCCAATAAAAGCCAGACAGAAGCATTCTCAGAAACTTGTTTGTGATGTGTGTACTCAATTAAAAGAGTTGAACCTTTCTATTAATAGTGTAGTTTTGAAACACTCTTTTTGTGGATTCTGCAAGTGGATATTTGGATTGCTTTGAGGATTTCGTTGGAAGCGGGAATTCGTATAAAAACTAGACAGCAGCATTCCCAGAAATTTCTTTCGGATATTTCCATTCAACTCATAGAGATGAACATGGCCTTTCATAGAGCAGGTTTGAAACACTCTTTTTGTAGTTTGTGGAAGTGGACATTTCGATCGCCTTGACGCCTACGCTGAAAAAGGAAATATCTTCCCATAAAAAATAGACAGAAGCATTCTCAGAAACTTGTTGGTGATATGTGTCCTCAACTAACAGAGTTGAACTTTGCCATTGATAGAGAGCAGTTTTGAAACACTCTTTTTGTGGAATCTGCGAGTGGATATTTGGATAGTTTGGAGGATTTCGTTGGAAGCGGGAATTCAAATAAAAGGTAGACAGCAGCATTCTCAGAAATTTCTTTCTGATGTTTGCATTCAACTCATAGAGTTGAACATTCCCTTTAATAGAGCAGGTTTGAAACACTCTTTCTGTACTATCTGGATGTGGACATTTGGAGCGCTTTGACGCCTACGGTGAAAAAGGAAATGTCTTCCCATAAAAAATTGAAGAAGGATTCTGAGAAACAAGTTTGTGATGTGTGTACTCAGCTAAGAGTGTGGAACCTCTCTTTTGATGCAGCAGTTTGGAAACACTCTTTTTGTAGAAACTATAAGTGGATATTTGGATAGCTGTAATGATTTCGTTGGAAACGGGAATATCATCATCTAAAATCTAGACAGAAGCCCTCTCAGAAACTACTTTGTGATATCTGCATTCAAGTCACAGAGTTGAACATTCGCTTTCTTAGAGCACGTTTGAAACACTCTTTTTGTAGTGTCTGGAAGTGGACATTTGGAGCGCTTTGATGCCTTTGGTGAAAAAGTGAATGTCTTCCCATAAAAACTAGACAGAAGCATTCTCAGAAACTTGTTTGTGATGTGTGTACCCAGCCAAAGGAGTTGAACATTTCTATTGATAGAGCAGTTTTGAAACACTCTTTTTGTGGAAAATGCAAGTGGATATTTGGATAGCTTGGAGGATATCGTTGGAAGCGGGAATTCAAATAAAAGGTAGACAGCAGCATTCTCAGAAATTTCTTTCTGATGTCTGCATTCAACTCGTAGAGTTGAAGATTCCCTTTCATAGAGCAGGTTTGAAACACTCTTTCTGGAGTATCTGGATGTGGACATTTGGAGCGCTTTGATGCCTACGGTGAAAAAGTAAATATCTTCCCATAAAAACGAGACAGAAGGATTCTCAGAAACAAGTTTTTGATGTGTGTACTCAGCCAAAAGAGTGGAACCTTTCTTTTTACAGAGCAGCTTTGAAACTGTATTTTTGTGGATTCTGCAAATTTATATTTAGATTGTTTTAACGATATCGTTGGAAAAGGGAATATCGTCATACAAAATCTAGACAGAAGCATTCTCACAAACTTCTTTGTGATGTGGGTCCTCAACTAACAGAGTTGAACCTTTCTTTTGATGCAGCAATTTGGAAACACCCTTTTGGTAGAAACTGTAACTGGATATTTGGATAGCTCTAACGATTTCGTTGGAAACGGGAATATGATCATCTAAAATCTAGACAGAAAGCACTATTAGAAACTACTTGGTGATATCTGCATTCAAGTCACAGAGTTGAACATTCCCTTACTTTGAGCACGTTTGAAACACTCTTTTGGAAGAATCTGGAAGTGGACATTTGGAGCGCTTTGATGCCTTTGGTGAAAAGGAAACGTCTTCCAATAAAAGCCAGACAGAAGCATTCTCAGAAACTTGTTTGTGATGTGTGTACTCAACTAAAAGAGTTGAACCTTTCTATTGATAGAGCAGTTTTGAAACACTCTTTTTGTGGATTCTGCAAGTGGATATTTGGATTGCTTTGAGGATTTCGTTGGAAGCGGGAATTCGTATAAAAACTAGACAGCAGCATTCCCAGAAATTTCTTTCGGATATTTCCATTCGACTCATAGAGATGAACATGGCCTTTCATAGAGCAGGTTTGAAACACTCTTTTTGTAGTTTGTGGAAGTGGACATTTTGATCGCCTTGACGCCTACGGTGAAAAAGGAAATATCTTCCCATAAAAAATAGACAGAAGCATTCTCAGAAACTTGTTGGTGATATGTGTCCTCAACTAACAGAGTTGAACTTTGCCATTGATAGAGAGCAGTTTTAAAACACTCTTTGTGTGGAATCTGCAAGTGGATATTTGGATAGCTTGGAGGATTTCGTTGGAAGCGGGAATTCAAATAAAAGGTAGACAGCAGCATTCTCAGAAATATCTTTCTGATGTCTGCATTCAACTCATAGAGTTGAAGATTCCCTTTCATAGAGCAGGTTTGAAACACTCTTTCTGGAGTATCTGGATGTGGACATTTGGAGCGCTTTGATGCCTACGGTGAAAAAGTAAATATCTTCCCATAAAAAGGAGACAGAAGGATTCTGAGAAACAAGTTTGTGATGTGTGTACTCAGCTAACAGAGTGGAACCTCTCTTTTGATGCAGCAGTTTGGAAACACTCTTTTTGTAGAAACTGTAAGTGGATATTTGGATAGCTCTAATCATTTCGTTGGAAACGGGAATATCATCATCTAAAATCTAGACAGAAGCACTCTCAGAAACTACTTTGTGATATGTGCATTCAAGTCACAGAGTTGAACATTCGCTTTCTTAGAGCACGTTGGAAACACTCTTTTTGTAGTGTCTGGAAGTGGACATTTGGAGCGCTTTGATGCCTTTGGTGAAAAAGGGAACGTCTTCCCATAAAAACTAGACAGAAGCATTCTCAGAAACTTGTTTGTGATGTGTGTACCCAGCCAAAGGAGTTGAACATTTCTATTGATAGAGCAGTTTTGAAACACTCGTTTTGTGGAAAATGCAGGTGGATATTTGGATAGCTTG
This sequence comes from Homo sapiens, assembly GCF_000001405.40. NCBI lineage: Eukaryota > Metazoa > Chordata > Mammalia > Primates > Hominidae > Homo > Homo sapiens. The sequence goes on from NC_000014.9 coordinate 17,702,342, forward strand.
GAGGATTTCGTTGGAAGCGGGAATTCAAATAAAAGGTAGACAGCAGCATTCTCAGAAATTACTTTCTGATGTCTGCATTCAACTCATAGAGTTGAAGATTCCCTTTCATAGAGCAGGTTTGAAACACTCTTTCTGTAGTATCTGGATGTGGACATTTGGAGCGCTTTGATATCTACGGTGAAAAAGTAAATATCTTCCCATAAAAACTAGACAGAAGGATTCTCAGAAACAAGTTTGTGATGTGTGTACTCAGCTAACAGAGTGGAACCTTTCTTTTTACAGAGCAGCTTTCAAACTCTATTTTTGTGGATTCTGCAAATTGATATTTAGATTGCTTTAACGATATCGTTGGAAAAGGGAATATTGTCATACAAAATCTGGACAGAAGCTTTCTCAGAAACTTCGTTGTGATGTGTGTCCTCAAGTAACAGAGTTGAACCTTTCTTTAGATGCAGCAGTTTGGAAACACTCTTTTTGTAGAAACTGTAAGTGGATATTTGGGTAGGTCTAACGATATCGTTGGAAACGGGAATATCTTCATCTAAAGTATACACAGAAGCACTATTAGAAACTACTTGGTGATATCTGCATTAAAGTCAAAGAGTTGAACATTCCCTTACTTTGAGCACGTTTGAAACACTCTTTTGGAAGAATCTGGAAGTGGACATTTGGAGCGCTTTGATGCCTTTGGTGAAAAGGAAACGTCTTCCAATAAAAGCCAGACAGAAGCATTCTCAGAAACTTGTTTGTGATGTGTGTACTCAACTAAAAGAGTTGAACCTTTCTATTGATAGAGCAGTTTTGAAACACTCTTTTTGTGGATTCTGCAAGTGGATATTTGGATTGCTTTGAGGATTTCGTTGGAAGCGGGAATTCGTATAAAAACTAGACAGCAGCATTCCCAGAAATTTCTTTCGGATATTTCCATTCGACTCATAGAAATGAACATGGCCTTTCATAGAGCAAGTTTGAAACACTCTTTTTGTAGTTTGTGGAAGTGGACATTTCGATCGCCTTGACGCCTACGGTGAAAAAGGAAATATCTTCCCATAAAAAATAGACAGAAGCATTCTCAGAAACTTGTTGGTGATATGTGTCCTCAACTAACAGAGTTGAACTTTGCCATTGATAGAGAGCAGTTTTGAAACACTCTTTTTGTGGAATCTGCAAGTGGATATTTGGATAGCTTGGAGGATTTCGTTGGAAGCGGGAATTCAAATAAAAGGTAGACAGCAGCATTCTGAGAAATTTCTTTCTGATGTCTGCATTCAACTCATAGAGTTGAAGATTCCCTTTCATAGAGCAGGTTTGAAACACTCTTTCTGTAGTATCTGGATGTGGACATTTGGAGCGCTTTGATGCCTACGGTGAAAAAGTATAATCTTCCCATAAAAACGAGACAGAAGGATTCTCAGAAACAAGTTTGTGATGTGTGTACTCAGCTAACAGAGTGGAACCTCTCTTTTGATGCAGCAGTTTGGAAACACTCTTTTTGTAGAAACTGTAAGTGGATATTTGGATAGCTCTAATGATTTCGTTGGAAACGGGAATATCATCTAAAATCGAGACAGAAGCAGTCTCAGAAACTACTTTGTGATATCTGCATTCCAGTCACATAGTTGAAAACTCTCTTACTTAGAGCAGGTTTGAAACACTCTTTTTGTAGAATCTGGAAGTGGACATTTGGAGCGCTTTGATGCCTTTGGTGAAAAAGGAAATGTCTTCCCTTAAAAAGTAGACAGAAGCATTCTCAGAAACTTGTTTGTGATGTGTGCACCCAGCTAAAGGAGTTGAACATTTCTATTGATAGAGCAGTTTTGAAGCACTCTTTTTGTGGAAAATGCAAGTGGATATTTGGATAGCTTGGAGGATTTCGTTGGAAGCGGGAGTTCAAATAAAAGGTAGACAGCAGCATTCTCAGAAATTTCTTTCTGATGTCTGCATTCAACTCATAGAGTTGAAGATTCCCTTTCATAGAGCAGGTTTGAAACACTCTTTCTGGAGTATCTGTATGTGGACATTTGGAGCGCTTTGATGCCTACGGTGAAAAAGTAAATATCTTCCCATAAAAACGAGACAGAAGGATTCTCAGAAACAAGTTTGTGATGTGTGTACTCAGCTAACAGAGTGGAACCTTTCTTTTTACAGAGCAGCTTTGAAACTCTATTGTTGTGGATTCTGCAAATTGATATTTAGATTGCTTTAACGATATCGTTGGAAAAGGGAATACCGTCATACAAAATCTAGACAGAAGCATTCTCACAAACTTCTTTGTGATGTGTGTCCTCAACTAACAGAGTTGAACCTTTCTTTTGATGCAGCAATTTGGAAGCACCCTTTTGATAGAAACTGTAACTGGATATTTGGATAGCTCTAACGATTTCGTTGGAAACGGGAATATCATCATCTAAAATCTAGACAGAAGCACTATTAGAAACTACTTGGTGATATCTGCATTCAAGTCACAGAGTTGAACATTCCCTTACTTCGAGCACGTTTGAAACACTCTTTTGGAAGAATCTGGAAGTGGACATTTGGAGCGCTTTGATGCCTTTGGTGAAAAGGAAACGTCTTCCAATAAAAGCCAGACAGAAGCATTCTCAGAAACTTGTTTGTGATGTGTGTACTCAACTAAAAGAGTTGAACCTTTCTATTGATAGAGCAGTTTTGAAACACTCTTTTTGTGGATTCTGCAAGTGGATATTTGGATTGCGTTGAGGATTTCGTTGGAAGCGGGAATTCGTATAAAAACTAGACAGCAGCATTCCCAGAAATTTCTTTCGGATATTTCCATTCAACTCATAGAGATGAACATGGCCTTTCATAGAGCAGGTTTGAAACACTCTTTTTGTAGTTTGTGGAAGTGGACATTTCGATCGCCTTGACGCCTACGCTGAAAAAGGAAATATCTTCCCATAAAAAATAGACAGAAGCATTCTCAGAAACTTGTTGGTGATATGTGTCCTCAACTAACAGAGTTGAACTTTGCCATTGATAGAGAGCAGTTTTGAAACACTCTTTTTGTGGAATCTGCAAGTGGATATTTGGATAGCTTGGAGGATTTCGTTGGAAGCGGGAATTCAAATAAAAGATAGACAGCAGCATTCTCAGAAATTTCTTTCTGATGTCTGCATTCAACTCATAGAGTTGAAGATTCCCTTTCATAGAGCAGGTTTGAAACACTCTTTCTGGAGTATCTGGATGTGGACATTTGGAGCGCTTTGATGCCTACGGTGGAAAAGTAAATATCTTCCCATAAAAACGAGACAGAAGGATTCTGAGAAACAAGTTTGTGATGTGTGTACTCGGCTAACAGAGTGGAACCTCTCTTTTGATGCAGCAGTTTGGAAACACTCTTTTTGTAGAAACTGTAAGTGGATATTTGGATAGCTCTAATGATTTCTTTGGAAACGGGAATATCATCATCTAAAATCTAGACAGAAGCACTCTCAGAAACTACTTTGTGATATCTGCATTCAAGTCACAGAGTTGAACATTCGCTTTCTTAGAGCACGTTTGAAACACTCTTTTTGTAGTGTCTGGAAGTGGACATTTGGAGCGCTTTGATGCCTTTGGTGAAAAAGGGAACGTCTTCCCATAAAAACTAGACAGAAGCATTCTCAGAAACTTGTTTGTGATGTGTGTACCCAGCCAAAGGAGTTGAACATTTCTATTGATAGAGCAGTTTTGGAACACTCTTGTTGTGGAAAATGCAGGTGGATATTTGGATAGCTTGGAGGATTTCGTTGGAAGCGGGAATTCAAATAAAAGGTAGACAGCAGCATTCTCAGAAATTTCTTTCTGATGTCTGCATTCAACTCATAGAGTTGAAGATTCCCTTTCATAGAGCAGGTTTGAAACACTCGTTCTGGGGTATCTGGATGTGGACATTTGGAGCGCTTTGATGCCTACGGTGGAAAAGTAAATATCTTCCCATAAAAACGAGACAGAAGGATTCTCAGAAACAAGTTTGTGATGTGTGTACTCAGCTAACAGAGTGGAACCTTTATTTTTACAGAGCAGCTTTGAAACTCTATTTTTGTGGATTCTGCAAATTGATATTTAGATTGCTTTAACGATATTGTTGGAAAAGGGAATATCGTCATACAAAATCTAGACAGAAGCATTCTCACAAACTTCTTTGTGATGTGTGTCCTCAACTAACAGAGTTGAACCTTTCTTTTGATGCAGCAATTTGGAAACACCCTTTTGGTAGAAACTGTAACTGGATATTTGCTTAGCTCTAACGATTTCGTTGGAAACGGGAATATCATCATCTGAAATCTAGACAGAAGCACTATTAGAAACTACTTGGTGATATCTGCATTCAAGTCACAGAGTTGAACATTCCCTTACTTTGAGCACGTTTGAAACACTCTTTTGGAAGAATCTGGAAGTGGACATTTGGAGCGCTTTGATGCCTTTGGTGAAAAGGAAACGTCTTCCAATAAAAGCCAGACAGAAGCATTCTCAGAAACTTGTTCGTGATGTGTGTACTCAACTAAAAGAGTTGAACCTTTCTATTGATAGAGCAGTTTTGAAACACTCTTTTTGTGGATTCTGCAAGTGGATATTTGGATTGCTTTGAGGATTTCGTTGGAAGCGGGAATTCGTATAAACACTAGACAACAGCATTCCCAGAAATTTCTTTCGGATATTTCCATTCAACTCATAGAGATGAACATGGCCTTTCATAGAGCAGGTTTGAAACACTCTTTTTGTAGTTTGTGGAAGTGGACATTTCGATCGCCTTGACGCCTACGGTGAAAAAGGAAATATCTTCCCATAAAAAATAGACAGAAGCATTCTCAGAAACTTGTTGGTGATATGTGTCCTCAACTAACAGAGTTGAACTTTGCCATTGATAGAGAGCAGTTTTGAAACACTCTTTTTGTGGAATCTGCAAGTGGATATTTGGATAGCTTGGAGGATTTCGTAGGAAGCGGGAATTCAAATAAAAGGTAGACAGCAGCATTCTCAGAAATTTCTTTCTGATGTCTGCATTCAACTCATAGAGTTGAAGATTTCCTTTCATAGAGCAGGTTTGAAACACTCTTTCTGGAGTATCTGGATGTGGACATTTGGAGCGCTTTGATGCCTACGGTGAAAAAGTAAATATCTTCCCATAAAAACGAGACAGAAGGATTCTCAGAAACAAGTTTGTGATGTGTGTACTCAGCTAACAGAGTGGAACCTCTCTTTTGATGCAGCAGTTTGGAAACACTCTTTTTGTAAAAACTGTAAGTGGATATTTGGATAGCTCTAATGATTTCGTTGGAAACGGGAATATCATCATCTAAAATCTAGACAGAAGCCCTCTCAGAAACTACTTTGTGATATCTGCATTCAAGTCACAGAGTTGAACATTCGCTTTCTTAGAGCACGTTTGAAACACTCTTTTTGTAGTGTCTGGAAGTGGACATTTGGAGCGCTTTGATGTCTTTGGTGAAAAAGGGAATGTCTTCCCATAAAAACTAGACAGAAGCATTCTCAGAAACTTGTTTGTGATGTGTGTACCCAGCCAAAGGAGTTGAACATTTCTATTGATAGAGCAGTTTTGAAACACTCTTGTTGTGGAAAATGCAGGTGGATATTTGAATAGCTTGGAGGATTTCGTTGGAAGCGGGAATTCAAATAAAAGGTAGACAGCAGCATTCTCAGAAATTTCTTTCTGATGTCTGCATTCAACTCATAGAGTTGAAGATTCCCTTTCATAGAGCAGGTTTGAAACACTCTTTCTGGAGTATCTGGATGTGGACATTTCGAGCGCTTTGATGCCTACGGTGAAAAAGTAAATATCTTCCCATAAAAACGAGACAGAGAAGGATTCTGAGAAACAAGTTTGTGATGTGTGTACTCAGCTAACAGAGTGGAACCTTTCTTTTTACAGAGCAGCTTTGAAACTCTATTTTTGTGGATTCTGCAAATGGATATTTAGATTGCTTTAACGATATCGTTGGAAAAGGGAATATCGTCATACAAAATCTAGACAGAAGCTTTCTCAGAAACTTCTTTGTGATGTGTGTCCTCAACTCACAGATTTGAACCTTTCTTTAGATGCAGCACTTTGGAAACACTCTTTTTGTAGAAACTGTAAGTGGATATTTGGGTAGGTCTAACGATATCGTTGGAAACGGGAATATCTTCATCTGAAGTATACACAGAAGCACTATTAGAAACTACTTGGTGATATCTGCATTCAAGTCACAGAGTTGAACATTCCCTTACTTTGAGCACGTTTCAAACACTCTTTTGGAAGAATCTGGAAGTGGACATTTGGAGCGCTTTGATGCCTTTGGTGAAAAGGAAACGTCTTCCCATAAAAGCCAGACAGAAGCATTCTCAGAAACTTGTTTGTGATGTGTGTACTCAACTAAAAGAGTTGAACCTTTCTATTGATAGAGCAGTTTTGAAACACTCTTTTTGTGGATTCTGCAAGTGGATATTTGGATTGCTTTGAGGATTTCGTTGGAAGCGGGAATTCGTATAAAAACTAGACAGCAGCATTCCCAGAAATTTCTTTCGGATATTTCCATTCGACTCACAGAGATGAACATGGCCTTTCATAGAGCAGGTTTGAAACACTCTTTTTGTAGTTTGTGGAAGTGGACATTTCGATCGCCTTGACGCCTACGGTGAAAAAGGAAATATCTTCCCATAAAAAATAGACAGAAGCATTCTCAGAAACTTGTTGGTGATATGTGTCCTCAACTAACAGAGTTGAACTTTGCCATTGATAGAGAGCAGTTTTGAAACACTCTTTTTGTGGAATCTGCAAGTGGATATTTGGATAGCTTGGAGGATTTCGTTGGAAGCGGGAATTCAAATAAAAGGTAGACAGCAGGATTCTGAGAAACAAATTTGTGATGTGTGTACTCAGCTAACAGAGTGGAACCTCTCTTTTGATGCAGCAGTTTGGAAACACTCTTTTTGTAGAAACTGTAAGTGGATATTTGGAAGCCCTAATGATTTTGTTGGAAACGGGATTATCATCATCTAAAATCTAGACAGAAGCCCTCTCAGAAACTACTTTGTGATATCTGCATTCAAGTCACAGAGTTGAACATTCACTTTCTTAGAGCACGTTGGAAACACTCTTTTTGTAGTGTCTGGAAGTGGACATTTGGAGTGCTTTGATGCCTTTGGTGAAAAAGGGAATGTCTTCCCATAAAAACTAGACAGAAGCATTCTCAGAAACTTGTTTGTGATGTGTGTACCCAGACAAAGGAGTTGAACATTTCTATTGATAGAGCAGTTTTGAAACACTCTTGTTGTGGAAAATGCAGGTGGATATTTGGATAGCTTGGAGGATTTCGTTGGAAGCGGGAATTCAAATAAAAGGTAGACAGCAGTATTCTCAGAAATTTCTTTCTGATGTCTGCATTCAACTCATAGAGTTGAAGATTCCCTTTCATAGAGCAGGTTTGAAACACTCTTTCTGGAGTATCTGGATGTGGACATTTGGAGCGCTTTGATGCCTACGGTGAAAAAGTAAATATCTTCCCATAAAAACGAGACAGAAGGATTCTGAGAGACAAGTTTGTGATGTGTGTACTCAGCTAACAGAGTGGAACCTTTCTTTTTACAGAGCAGCTTTGAAACTCTATTTTTGTGGATTCTGCAAATGGATATTTAGATTGCTTTAACGATATCGTTGGAAAAGGGAATATCGTCATACAAAAACGGACAGAAGCATTCTCACAAACTTCTTTGTGACGTGTGTCCTCAACTAACAGAGTTGAACCTTTCTTTTGATGCAGCAGTTTGGAAACACTGTTTTTGTAGCAACTGTAAGTGGATATTTGGATAGCTCTAACGATTTCGTTGGAAACGGGAATATCATCATCTAAATTCTAGACAGAAGCACTATTAGAAACTACTTGGTGATATCTGCATTCAAGTCACAGAGTTGAACATTCCCTTACTTTGAGCACGTTTCAAACACTCTTTTAGAAGAATCTGGAAGTGGACATTTGGAGCGCTTTGATGCCTTTGGTGAAAAGGAAACGTCTTCCAATAAAAGCCAGACAGAAGCATTCTCAGAAACTTGTTTGTGATGTGTGTACTCAACTAAAAGAGTTGAACCTTTCTATTGATAGAGCAGTTTTGAAACACTCTTTTTGTGGATTCTGCAAGTGGATATTTGGATTGCTTTGAGGATTTCGTTGGAAGCGGGAATTCGTATAAAAACTAGACAGCAGCATTCCCAGAAATTTCTTTCGGATATTTCCATTCGACTCATAGAGATGAACATGGCCTTTCATAGAGCAGGTTTGAAACACTCTTTTTGTAGTTTGTGGAAGTGGACATTTCGATCGCCTTGACGCCTACGGTGAAAAAGGAAATGTCTTCCCATAAAAAATTGAAGAAGCATTCTCAGAAACTTGTTGGTGATATGTGTCCTCAACTAACAGAGTTGAACTTTGCCATTGATAGAGAGCAGTTTTGAAACACTCTTTTTGTGGAATCTGCAAGTGGATATTTGGATAGCTTGGAGGATTTCGTTGGAAGCGGGAATTCAAATAAAAGGTAGACAGCAGCATTCTCAGAAATTTCTTTCTGATGTCTGCATTCAACTCATAGAGTTGAAGATTCCCTTTCATAGAGCAGGTTTGAAACACTCTTTCTGGAGTTTCTGGATGTGGACATTTGGAGCGCTTTGATGCCTACGGTGAAAAAGTAAATATCTTCCCAGAAAAACGAGACAGAGAAGGATTCTGAGAAACAAGTTTGTGATGTGTGTACTCAGCTAACAGAGTGGAACCTTTCTTTTTACAGAGCAGCTTTGAAACTCTATTTTTGTGGATTCTGCAAATGGATATTTAGATTGCTTTAATGATATCGCTGGAAAAGGGAATATGGTCATACAAAATCTAGACAGAAGCATTCTCACAAACTTCTTTGTGATGTGTGTCCTCAACTAACAGAGTTGAACCTTTCTTTTGATGCAGCAGTTTGGAAACACTGTTTTTGTAGCAACTGTAAGTGGATATTTGGATAGCTCTAACGATTTCGTTGGAAACGGGAATATCATCATCTAAAATCTAGACAGAAGCACTATTAGAAACTACTTGGTGATATCTGCATTCAAGTCACAGAGTTGAACATTCCCTTACTTTGAGCACGTTTCAAACACTCTTTTGGAAGAATCTGGAAGTGGACATTTGGAGCGCTTTGATGCCTTTGGTGAAAAGGAAACGTCTTCCAAAAAAAGCCAGACAGAAGCATTCTCAGAAACTTGTTCGTGATGTGTGTACTCAACTAAAAGAGTTGAACCTTTCTATTGATAGTGCAGTTTTGAAACACTCTTTTTGTGAATTCTGCAAGTGGATATTTGGATTGCTTTGAGGATTTCGTTGGAAGCGGGAATTCGTATAAACACTAGACAGCAGCATTCCCAGAAATTTCTTTCGGATATTTCCATTCGACTCATAGAGATGAACATGGCCTTTCATAGAGCAGGTTTGAAACACTCTTTTTGTAGTTTGTGGAAGTGGACATTTCGATCGCCTTGACGCCTACGGTGAAAAAGGAAATATCTTCCCATAAAAAATAGACAGAAGCATTCTCAGAAACTTGTTGGTGATATGTGTCCTCAACTAACAGAGTTGAACTTTGCCATTGACAGAGAGCAGTTTTGAAACACTCTTTTTGTGGAATCTGCAAGTGGATATTTGGATAGCTTGGAGGATTTCGTTGGAAGCGGGAATTCAAATAAAAGGTAGACAGCAGCATTCTCAGAAATTTCTTTCTGATGTCTGCATTCAACTCATAGAGTTGAAGATTCCCTTTCATAGAGCACGTTTGAAACACTCTTTCTGGAGTATCTGGATGTGGACATTTGGAGCGCTTTGATGCCTACGGTGAAAAAGTAAATATCTTCCCATAAAAACGAGACAGAAGGATTCTGAGAAACAAGTTTGTGATGTGTGTACTCAGCTAACAGACTGGAACCTCTCTTTTGATGCAGCAGTTTGGAAACACTCTTTTTGTAGAAACTGTAAGTGGATATTTGGATAGCTCTAATGATTCCGTTGGAAACGGGAATATCATCATCTAAAATCTAGACAGAAGCCCTCTCAGAAACTACTTTGTGATATCTGCATTCAAGTCACAGAGTTGAACATTCGCTTTCTTAGAGCACGTTTGAAACACTCTTTTTGTAGTGTCTGGAAGTGGAGATTTGGAGCGCTTTGATGCCTTTGGTGAAAAAGGGAACGTCTTCCCATAAAAACTAGACAGAAGCATTCTCAGAAACTTGTTTGTGATGTGTGTACCCAGCCAAAGGAGTTGAACATTTCTATTGATAGAGCAGTTTTGAAACACTCTTGTTGTGGAAAATGCAAGTGGATATTTGGATAGCTTGGAGGATTTCGTTGGAAGCGGGAATTCAAATAAAAGGTAGACAGCAGCATTCTCAGAAATTTCTTTCTGATGTCTGCATTCAACTCATAGAGTTGAAGATTCCCTTTCATAGAGTAGGTTTGAAACACTCGTTCTGGAGTATCTGGATGTGGACATTTGGAGCGCTTTGATGCCTACGGTGGAAAAGTAAATATCTTCCCATAAAAACGAGACAGAAAGGATTCTGAGAAACAAGTTTGTGATGTGTGTACTCAGCTAACAGAAGTGGAACCTTTCTTTTTACAGAGCAGCTTTGAAACTCTATTTTTGTGGATTCTGCAAATTGATATTTAGATTGCTTTAACGATATCGTTGGAAAAGGGAATATCGTCATACAAAACCTAGACAGAAGCATTCTCACAAACTTCTTTGTGATGTGTGTCCTCAACTAACAGAGTTGAACCTTTCTTTTGATGCAGCAATTTGGAAACACCCTTTTGGTAGAAACTGTAACTGGATATTTGGATAGCTCTAACGATTTCGTTGGAAACGGGAATATCATCATCTAAAATGTAGGCAGAAGCACTATTAGAAACTACTTGGTGATATCTGCATTCAAGTCACAGAGTTGAACATTCCCTTACTTGGAGCACGTTTGAAACACTCTTTTGGAAGAATCTGGAAGTGGACATTTGGAGCGCTTTGATGCCTTTGGTGAAAAGGAAACGTCTTCCAATAAAAGCCAGACAGAAGCATTCTGAGAAACTTGTTCGTGATGTGTGTACTCAACTAAAAGAGTTGAACCTTTCTATTGATAGAGCAGTTTTGAAACACTCTTTTTGTGGATTCTGCAAGTGGATATTTGGATTGCTTTGAGGATTTCGTTGGAAGCGGGAATTCGTATAAACACTAGACAGCAGCATTCCCAGAAATTTCTTTCGGATATTTCCATTCAACTCATAGAGATGAACATGGCCTTTCATAGAGCAGGTTTGAAACACTCTTTTTGTAGTTTGTGGAAGTGGACATTTCGATCGCCTTGACGCCTACGGTGAAAAAGGAAATATCTTCCCATAAAAAATAGACAGAAGCATTCTCAGAAACTTGTTGGTGATATGTGTCCTCAACTAACAGAGTTGAACTTTGCCATTGATAGAGAGCAGTTTTGAAACACTCTTTTTGTGGAATCTGCAAGTGGATATTTGGATAGCTTGGAGGATTTCGTTGGAAGCGGGAATTCAAATAAAAGACAGCAGCATTCTCAGAAATTTCTTTCTGATGTCTGCATTCAACTCATAGAGTTGAACATTCCCTTTCATAGAGCAGGTTTGAAACACTCTTTCTGGAGTATCTGGATGTGGACATTTGGAGCGCTTTTATGCCTACGGTGAAAAAGTAAATATCTTCCCATAAAAACGAGACAGAAGGATTCTGAGAAACAAGTTTGTGATGTGTGTACTCAGCTAACAGAGTGGAACCTCTCTTTTGATGCAGCAGTTTGGAAACACTCTTTTTGTAGAAACTGTAAGTGGATATTTGGATAGCTCTAATGATTTCTTTGGAAACGGTAATATCATCATCTAAAATCTAGACAGAAGCCCTCTCAGAAACTACTTTGTGATATCTGCATTGAAGTCACAGAGTTGAACATTCGCTTTCTTAGAGCACGTTGGAAACACTCTTTTTGTAGTGTCTGGAAGTGGACATTTGGAGCGCTTTGATGCCTTTGGTGAAAAAGGGAATGTCTTCCCATAAAAACTAGACAGAAGCATTCTCAGAAACTTGTTTGTGATGTGTGTACCCAGCTAAAGGAGTTGAACATTTCTATTGATAGAGCAGTTTCGAAACACTCTTTTTGTGGAAAATGCAGGTGGATATTTGGATAGCTTGGAGGATTTCGTTGGAAGCGGGAATTCAAATAAAAGGTAGACAGCAGCATTCTCAGAAATTTCTTTCTGATGTCTGCATTCAACTCATAGAGTTGAACATTCCCTTTCATAGAGCAGGTTTGAAACACTCTTTCTGGAGTATCTGGATGTGGACATTTGGAGCGCTTTGATTCCTACGGTGAAAAAGTAAATATCTTCCCATAAAAACGAGACAGAAGGATTCTGAGAGACAAGTTTGTGATGTGTGTACTCAGCTAACAGAGTGGAACCTTTCTTTTTACAGAGCAGCTTTGAAACTCTATTTTTGTGGATTCTGCAAATGGATATTTAGATTGCTTTAATGATATCGTTGGAAAAGGGAATATCGTCATACAAAATCTGGACAGAAGCATTCTCACAAACTTCTTTGTGATGTGTGTCCTCAACTAACAGAGTTGAACCTTTCTTTTGATGCAGCAGTTTGGAAACACTCTTTTTGTAGAAACTGTAAGTGGATAATTGGATAGCTGTAACGATTTCGTTGGAAACGGGAATATCGTCATCTAAAATTTAGACAGAAGCACTATTAGAAACTACTTGGTGATATCTGCATTCAAGTCAAAGAGTTGAACATTCCCTTACTTTGAGCACGTTTGAAACACTCTTTTGGAAGAATCTGGAAGTGGACATTTGGAGCGCTTTGATGCCTTTGGTGAAAAGGAAACGTCTTCCAATAAAAGCCAGACAGAAGCATTCTCAGAAACTTGTTCTTGACGTGTGTACTCAACTAAAAGAGTTGAACCTTTCTATTGATAGAGCAGTTTTGAAACACTCTTTTTGTGGATTCTGCAAGTGGATATTTGGATTGCTTTGAGGATTTCGTTGGAAGCGGGAATTCGTATAACAACTAGACAGCAGCATTCCCAGAAATTTCTTTCGGATATTTCCATTCGACTCATAGAGATGAACATGGCCTTTCATAGAGCAGGTTTGAAACACTCTTTTTGTAGTTTGTGGAAGTGGACATTTCGATCGCCTTGACGCCTACGGCGAAAAAGGAAATATCTTCCCATAAAAAATAGACAGAAGAATTCTCAGAAACTTGTTTGTGATGTGAATCCTCAACTGACAGAGGTGAACCTTGCCATTGATAGAGCAGTTTAGAAACACTCTTTTTGTGGAATCTGCATGTGGATATTTGGATAGCCTGGAGGATTTCGTTGGAAGCGGGAATTCAAATGAAAGGTAGACAGCAGCATTCTCAGAAATTTCTTTGTGATGTTTGCATTCAACTCATAGAGTTGAACATTCCCTTTCATAGAGCAGGTTTGAAACACTCTTTCTGTACTATCTGGATGTGGACATTGGGAACGCTTTGATGCCTATGGTGAAAAAGAAAATATCTTCCCATAAAAGCTAGACAGAAGGATTCTCAGAAACATGTTTGTGATGTGTGTCCTCAGCTAACAGAGTGGAACCTCTCTTTTGATGCAGCACTTTGGAAACTCTCTTTTTGTAGAAACTGTAAGTGGATATTTGGATAGCTCTAATGATTTCATTGGAAACGGGAATATCATCATCTAAAATCTAGACAGAAGCCCTCTCAGAAACTACTTTGTGATATCTGCATTCAAGTCACAGAGTTGAACATTCGCTTTCTTAGAGCACGTTTGAAACACTCTTTTTGTAGTGTCTGAAAGTGGACCTTTGGAGCGCTCTGATGCCTTTGGTGAAAAAGGGAATGTCTTCCCATAAAAACTAGACAGAAGCATTCTCAGGAAACTTGTTTGTGATGTGTGTACCCAGCTAATGGAGTTGAACATTTCTATTGATAGAGCAGTTTTGAAACACTCTTTTTGTGGAAAATGCAAGTGGATATTTGGATAGCTTGGAGGATTTCGTTGGAAGCGGGAATTCAAATAAAAGGTAGACAGCAGCATTCTCAGAAATTTCTTTCTGATGTCTGCATTCAACTCATAGAGTTGAAGATTCCCTTTCATTGAGTAGGTTTGAAACACTCGTTCTGGAGTATATGGATGTGGACATTTGGAGCGCTTTGATGCCTACGGTGGAAAAGTAAATATCTTCCCATAAAAACGAGACAGAAGGTATTCTGAGCAAACAAGTTTGTGATGTGTGTACTCAGCTAACAGAGTGGAACCTTTCTTTTTACAGAGCAGCTTTGAAACTCTATTTTTGTGGATTCTGCAAATGGATATTTAGATTGCTTTAATGATATCGCTGGAAAAGGGAATATGGTCATACAAAATCTAGACAGAAGCATTCTCACAAACTTCTTTGTGATGTGTGTCCTCAACTAACAGAGTTGAACCTTTCTTTTGATGCAGCAATTTGGAAACACCCTTTTGGTAGAAACTGTAACTGGATATTTGGATAGCTCTAACGATTTCCTTGGAAACGGGAATATCATCATCTAAAATCTAGACAGAAGCACTATTAGAAACTACTTGGTGATATCTGCATTCAAGTCACAGAGTTGAACATTCCCTTACTTTGAGCACGTTTGAAACACTCTTTTGGAAGAATCTGGAAGTGGACATTTGGAGCGCTTTGATGCCTTTGGTGAAAAGGAAACGTCTTCCAATAAAAGCCAGACAGAAGCATTCTCAGAAACTTGTTGGTGATGTGTGTACTCAACTAAAAGAGTTGAACCTTTCTATTGATAGAGCAGTTTTGAAACACTCTTTTTGTGGATTCTGCAAGTGGATATTTGGATTGCTTTGAGGATTTCGTTGGAAGCGGGAATTCGTATAAACACTAGACAGCAGCATTCCCAGAAATTTCTTTCGGATATTTCCATTCAACTCATAGAGATGAACATGGCCTTTCATAGAGCAGGTTTGAAACACTCTTTTTGTAGTTTGTGGAAGTGGACATTTCGATCGCCTTGACGCCTACGGTGAAAAAGGAAATATCTTCCCATGAAAAATAGACAGAAGCATTCTCAGAAACTTGTTGGTGATATGTGTCCTCAACTAACAGAGTTGAACTTTGCCATTGATAGAGAGCAGTTTTGAAACACTCTTTTTGTGGAATCTGCAAGTGGATATTTGGATAGCTTGGAGGATTTCGTTGGAAGCGGGAATTCAAATAAAAGGTAGACAGCAGCATTCTCAGAAATTTCTTTCTGATGTCTGCATTCAACTCATAGAGTTGAAGATTCCCTTTCATAGAGCAGGTTTGAAACACTCTTTCTGGAGTATCTGGATGTGGACATTTGGAGCGCTTTGATGCCTACGGTGAAAAAGTATAATCTTCCCATAAAAACGAGACAGAAGGATTCTGAGAAAAAAGTTTGTGATGTGTGTACTCAGCTAACAGAGTGGAACCTCTCTTTTGATGCAGCAGTTTGGAAACACTCTTTTTGTAGAAACTGTAAGTGGATATTTGGATAGCTGTAATGATTTCGTTGGAAACGGGAATATCATCATCTAAAATCTAGACAGAAGCCCTCTCAGAAACTACTTTGTGATATCTGCATTCAAGTCACAGAGTTGAACATTCGGTTTCTTAGAGCACGTTTGAAACACTCTTTTTGTAGTGTCTGGAAGTGGACATTTGGAGCGCTTTGATGCCTTTGGTGAAAAAGGGAATGTCTTCCCATAAAAACTAGACAGAAGCATTCTCAGAAACTTGTTTGTGATGTGTGTACCCAGCTAATGGAGTTGAACATTTCTATTGATAGAGCAGTTTTGAAACACTCTTTTTGTGGAAAATGCAAGTGGATATTTGGATAGCTTGGAGGATTTCGTTGGAAGCGGGAATTCAAATAAAAGGTAGACAGCAGCATTCTCAGAAATTTCTTTCTGATGTCTGCATTCAACTCATAGAGTTGAAGATTCCCTTTCATAGAGCAGGTTTGAAACACTCTTTCTGGAGTATCTGGATGTGTACATTTGGAGCGCTTTGATGCCTACGGTGAAAAAGTAAATATCTTCCCAGAAAAACGAGACAGAAGGATTCTGAGAAACAAGTTTGTGATGTGTGTACTCAGCTAACAGAGTGGAACCTTTCTTTTTACAGAGCAGCTTTGAAACTCTATTTTTGTGGATTCTGCAAATTGATATTTAGATTGCTTTAACGATATCGTTGGAAAAGGGAATATTGTCATACAAAATCTGGACAGAAGCATTCTCACAAACTTCTTTGTGACGTGTGTCCTCAACTAACAGAGTTGAACCTTTCTTTTGATGCAGCAGTTTGGAAACACTCTTTTTGTAGAAACTGTAAGTGGATATTTGGATAGCTCTAACGATTTCGTTGGAAACGGGAATATCATCATCTAAAATGCTAGACAGAAGCACTATTAGAAACTACTTTGTGATATCTGCATTCAAGTCACAGAGTTGAAGATTCGCTTTCTTAGAGCACGTTGGAAACACTCTTTTTGTAGTGTCTGGAAGTGGACATTTGGAGCGCTTTGATGCCTTTGGTGAAAAAGGGAATGTCTTCCCATAAAAACTAGACAGAAAGCATTCTCAGCAAACTTGTTTGTGATGTGTGTACCCAGCCAAAGGAGTTGAACATTTCTATTGATAGAGCAGTTTTGAAACGCTCTTTTTGTGGAAAATGCAGGTGGATATTTGGATAGCTTGGAGGATTTCGTTGGAAGCGGGAATTCAAATAAAAGGTAGACAGCAGCATTCCCAGAAATTTCTTTCGGATATTTCCATTCAACTCATAGAGATGAACATGGCCTTTCATATTGAAACACTCTTTTTGTAGTTTGTGGAAGTGGACATTTCGATCGCCTTGACGCCTACGGTGAAAAAGGAAATATCTTCCCATGAAAAATAGACAGAAGCATTCTCAGAAACTTGTTGGTGATATGTGTCCTCAACTAACAGAGTTGAACTTTGCCATTGATAGAGAGCAGTTTTGAAACACTCTTTTTGTGGAATCTGCAAGTGGATATTTGGATAGCTTGGAGGATTTCGTTGGAAGCGGGAATTCAAATAAAAGGTAGACAGCAGCATTCTCAGAAATTTCTTTCTGATGTCTGCATTCAACTCATAGAGTTGAAGATTCCCTTTCATAGAGCAGGTTTGAAACACTCTTTCTGGAGTATCTGGATGTGGACATTTGGAGCGCTTTGATACCTATGGTGAAAAAGTAAATATCTTCCCATAAAAACGAGACAGAAGGATTCTGAGAAACTAGTTTGTGATGTGTGTACTCAGCTAACAGAGTGGAACCTCTGTTTTGATGCAGCAGTTTGGAAACACTCTTTTTGTAGAAACTGTAAGTGGATATTTGGATAGCTCTGATGATTTCGTTGGAAACGGGAATATCATCATCTAAAATCTAGACAGAAGCACTCTCAGAAACTACTTTTTGATATCTGCATTCAAGTCACAGAGTTGAACATTCGGTTTCTTAGAGCACTTTTGAAACACTCTTTTTGTAGTATCTGGAAGTGGACATTTGGAGCTCTTTGATGCCTTTGGTGAAAAAGGAAATGTCTTCCCATAAAAACTAGACAGAAGCATTCTCAGAAACTTGTTTGTGATGTGTGCACCCAGCTAAAGGAGTTGAACATTTATTGATAGAGCAGTTTTGAAGCACTCTTTTTGTGGAAAATGCAAGTGGATATTTGGATAGTTTGGAGGATTTCGTTGGAAGCGGGAGTTCAAATAAAAGGTAGACAGCAGCATTCTCAGAAATTTCTTTGTGATGTTTGCATTCAACTCATAGAGTTGAACATTCCCTTTCATAGAGCAGGCTTGAAACACTCTTTCTGCACTATCTGGATGTGGACATTTGGAACGCTTTGATGCCTACGGTGAAAAAGTAAATATCTTCCCATAAAAACGAGACAGAAGGATTCTGAGAAACAAGTTTGTGATGTGTGTACTCAGCTAACAGAGTGGAACCTCTCTTTTGATGCAGCAGTTTGGAAACACTCTTTTTGTAGAAACTGTAAGTGGATATTTGGATAGCTCTAATGATTTCGTTGGAAACGGGAATATCATCATCTAAAGTCTAGACAGAAGCCCTCTCAGAAACTACTTTGTGATATCTGCATTCAAGTCACAGAGTTGAACATTCGCTTTCTTAGAGCACGTTTGAAACACTCTTTTTGTAGTGTCTGGAAGTGGACATTTGGAGCGCTTTGATTCCTTTGGTGAAAAAGGGAATGTCTACCCATAAAAACTACACAGAAGCATTCTCAGAAACTTGTTTGTGATGTGTGTACCCAGCCAAAGGGAGTTGAACATTTCTATTGATAGAGCAGTTTTGAAACACTCTTGTTGTGGAAAATGCAAGTGGATATTTGGATAGCTTGGAGGATTTCGTTGGAAGCGGGAATTCAAATAAAAGGTAGACAGCAGCATTCTCAGAAATTTCTTTCTGATGTCTGCATTCAACTGATAGAGTTGAAGATTCCCTTTCATAGAGCAGGTTTGAAACACTCGTTCTGGAGTATCTGGATGTGGACATTTGGAGCGCTTTGATGCCTACGGTGGAAAAGTAAATATCTTCCCATAAAAACGAGACAGAAGGATTCTGAGAAACAAGTTTGTGATGTGTGTACTCAGCTAACAGAGTGGAACCTTTCTTTTCACAGAGCAGCTTTGAAACTCTATTTTTGTGGATTCTGCAAATTGATATTTAGATTGCTTTAACGATATCGTTGGAAAAGGGAATATCGTCATACAAAATCTAGACAGAAGCATTCTCACAAACTTCTTTGTGATGTGTGTCCTCAACTAACAGAGTTGAACCTTTCTTTTGATGCAGCAATTTGGAAACACCCTTTTGGTAGAAACTGTAACTGCATATTTGGATAGCTCTAATGATTTCGTTGGAAACGGGAATATCATCATCTAAAATCTAGACAGAAGCACTATTAGAAACTACTTGGTGATATCTGCATTCAAGTCACAGAGTTGAACATTCCCTTACTTCGAGCACGTTTGAAACACTCTTTTGGAAGAATCTGGAAGTGGACATTTGGAGCCTTTTGATGCCTTTGGTGAAAAGGAAACGTCTTCCAATAAAAGCCAGACAGAAGCATTCTCAGAAACTTGTTCGTGATGTGTGTACTCAACTAAAAGAGTTGAACCTTTCTATTGATAGAGCAGTTTTGAAACACTCTTTTTGTGGATTCTGCAAGTGGATATTTGGATTGCTTTGAGGATTTCGTTGGAAGCGGGAATTCGTATAAACACTAGACAGCAGCATTCCCAGAAATTTCTTTCGGATATTTCCATTCAACTCATAGAGATGAACATGGCCTTTAATAGAGCAGGTTTGAAACACTCTTTTTGTAGTTTGTGGAAGTGGACATTTCGATCGCCTTGACGCCTACGGTGAAAAAGGAAATATCTTCCCATAAAAAATAGACAGAAGCATTCTCAGAAACTTGTTGGTGATATGTGTCCTCAACTAACAGAGTTGAACTTTGCCATTGATAGAGAGCAGTTTTGAAACACTCTTTTTGTGGAAAATGCAAGTGGATATTTGGATAGCTTGGAGGATTTCGTTGGAAGTGAGAATTCAAATAAAAGGTAGACAGCAGCATTCTCAGAAATTTCTTTCTGATGTCTGCATTCAACTCATAGAGTTGAAGATTCCCTTTCATAGAGCAGGTTTGAAACACTCTTTCTGGGGTATCTGGATGTGGACATTTGGAGCGCTTTGATGCCTACGGTGAAAAAGTAAATATCTTCCCATAAAAACGAGACAGAAGGATTCTGAGAAACAAGTTTGTGATGTGTGTACTCAGCTAACAGAGTGGAACCTCTCTTTTGATGCAGCAGTTTGGAAACACTCTTTTTGTAGAAACTGTAAGTGGATATTTGGATAGCTCTAATGATTTCGTTGGAAACGGGAATATCATCATTTAAAGTCTAGACAGAAGCCCTCTCAGAAACTACTTTGTGATATCTGCATTCAAGTCACAGAGTTGAACATTCGCTTTCTTAGAGCACGTTTGAAACACTCTTTTTGTAGTGTCTGGAAGTGGACATTTGGAGCGCTTTGATTCCTTTTGTGAAAAAGGGAATGTCTACCCATAAAAACTAGACAGAAGCATTCTCAGAAACTTGTTTGTGATGTGTGTACCCAGCTAAAGGATTTGAACATTTCTATTGATAGAGCAGTTTTGAAACACTCTTTTGGTGGAAAATGCAAGTGGATATTTGGATAGCTTGGAGGATTTCGTTGGAAGCGGGAATTCAAATAAAAGGTAGACAGCAGCATTCTCAGAAATTTCTTTCTGATGTCTGCATTCAACTCATAGAGTTGAAGATTCCCTTTCATAGAGCAGGTTTGAAACAGTCTTTCTGGAGTATCTGGATGTGGACATTTGGAGCGATGCCTACGGTGAAAAAGTAAATATCTTCCCATAAAAACGAGACAGAAGGATTCTGAGAAACAAGTTTGTGATGTGTGTACTCAGCTAACAGAGTGGAACCTTTCTTTTTACAGAGCAGCTTTGAAACTCTATTTTTGTGGATTCTGCAAATTGATATTTAGATTGCTTTAACGATATCGTTGGAAATGGGAATATCGTCATACAAAATCTGGACAGAAGCATTCTCACAAACTTCTTTGTGACGTGTGTCCTCAACTAACAGAGTTGAACCTTTCTTTTGATGCAGCAGTTTGGAAACACTCTTTTTGTAGCAACTGTAAGTGGATATTTGGATAGCTCTAACGATTTCGTTGGAAACGGGAATATCATCATCTAAAATCTAGACAGAAGCACTATTAGAAACTACTTGGTGATATCTGCATTCAAGTCACAGAGTTGAACATTCCCTTACTTTGAGCACGTTTCAAACACTCTTTTGGAAGAATCTGGAAGTGGACATTTGGAGTGCTTTGATGCCTTTGGTGAAAAGGAAACGTCTTCCAATAAAAGCCAGACAGAAGCATTCTCAGAAACTTGTTTGTGATGTGTGTACTCAACTAAAAGAGTTGAACCTTTCTATTGATAGAGCAGTTTTGAAACACTCTTTTTGTGGATTCTGCAAGTGGATATTTGGATTGCTTTGAGGATTTCGTTGGAAGCGGGAATTCGTATAAAAACTAGACAGCAGCATTCCCAGAAATTTCTTTCCGATATATCCATTCAACTCATAGAGATGAACATGGCCTTTCATAGAGCAGGTTTGAAACACTCTTTTTGTAGTTTGTGGAAGTGGACATTTCGATCGCCTTGACGCCTACGGTGAAAAAGGAAATATCTTCCCATAAAAAATAGACAGAAGCATTCTCAGAAACTTGTTGGTGATATGTGTCCTCAACTAACAGAGTTGAACTTTGCCATTGATAGAGAGCAGTTTTGAAACACTCCTTCTGTGGAATCTGCAAGTGGATATTTGGATAGCTTGGAGGATTTCGTTGGAAGCGGGAATTCAAATAAAAGGTAGACAGCAGCATTCTCAGAAATTTCTTTCTGATGTCTGCATTCAACTCATAGAGTTGAAGATTCCCTTTCATAGAGCAGGTTTGAAACACTCTTTCTCGAGTATCTGGATGTGGACATTTGGAGCGCTTTGATGCCTACGGTGAGAAAGTAAATATCTTCCCATAAAAACGAGACAGAAGGATTCTGAGAAACAAGTTTGTGATGTGTGTACTCAGCTAACAGAGTGGAACCTCTCTTTTGATGCAGCAGTTTGGAAACACTCTTTTTGTAGAAACTGTAAGTGGATATTTGGATAGCTCTAATGATTTCGTTGGAAACGGGAATATCATCATATAAAATCTAGACAGAAGCCCTCTCAGAAACTACTTTGTGATATCTGCATTCAAGTCACAGAGTTGAACATTCGCTTTCTTAGAGCACGTTTGAAACACTCTTTTTGTGGTGTCTGGAAGTGGACATTTGGAGCGCTTTGATGTCTTTGGTGAAAAAGGGAATGTCTTCCCATAAAAACTAGACAGAAGCATTCTCAGAAAGTTGTTTGTGATGTGTGTACCCAGCCAAAGGAGTTGAACATTTCTATTGATAGAGCAGTTTTGAAACACTCTTGTTGTGGAAAATGCAGGTGGATATTTGGATAGCTTGGAGGATTTCGTTGGAAGCGGGAATTCAAATAAAAGGTAGACAGCAGGATTCTCAGAAACAAGTTTGTGATGTGTGTACTCAGCTAACAGAGTGGATCCTTTCTTTTTACAGAGCAGCTTTGAAACTCTATATCTGTGGATTCTGCAAATTGATATTTGGGTTGATTTAACGATATCGTTGGAAAAGGGAATATCTTCATACAAAATCTAGAGAGAAGCATTCTCACAAACTTCTTTGTGATGTGTGTCCTCAACTAACAGAGTTGAACCTTTCTTTTGATGCAGCAATTTGGAAACACCCTTTTGGTAGAAACTGTAACTGGATATTTGGATAGCTCTAACGATTTCGTTGGAAACGGGAATATCATCATCTAAAATCTAGACAGAAGCACTATTAGAAACTACTTGGTGATATCTGCATTCAAGTCACAGAGTAGAACATTCCCTTACTTCGAGCACGTTTGAAACACTCTTTTGGAAGAATCTGGAAGTGGACATTTGGAGCGCTTTGATGCCTTTGGTGAAAAGGAAACGTCTTCCAATAAAAGCCAGACAGAAGCATTCTCAGAAACTTATTCGTGATGTGTGTACTCAACTAAAAGAGTTGAACCTTTCTATTGATAGAGCAGTTTAGAAACACTCTTTTTGTGGATTCTGCAAGTGGATATTTGGATTGCTTTGAGGATTTCGTTGGAAGCGGGAATTCGTATAAACACTAGACAGCAGCATTCCCAGAAATTTCTTTTGGATATTTCCATTCAACTCATAGAGATGAACATGGCCTTTCATATTGAAACACTCTTTTTGTAGTTTGTGGAAGTGGACATTTCGATCGCTTTGACGCCTACGGTGAAAAAGGAAATATCTTCCCATAAAAAATAGACAGAAGCATTCTCAGAAACTTGTTGGTGATATGTGTCCTCAACTAACAGAGTTGAACTTTGCCATTGATAGAGAGCAGTTTTGAAACACTCTTTTTGTGGAATCTGCAAGTGGATATTTGGATAGCTTGGAGGATTTCGTTGGAAGCGGGAATTCAAATAAAAGGTAGACAGCAGCATTCTCAGAAATTTCTTTCTGATGTCTGCATTCAACTCATAGAGTTGAAGATTCCCTTTCATAGAGCAGGTTTGAAACACTCTTTCTGGAGTATCTGGATGTGGACATTTGGAGCGCTTTGATGCCTACGGTGAAAAAGTAAATATCTTCCCAGAAAAACGAGACAGAGGATTCTGAGAAACAAGTTTGTGATGTGTGTACTCAGCTAACAGAGTGGAACCTCTCTTTTGATGCAGCAGTTTGGAAATACTCTTTTTGTAGAAACTGTAAGTGGATATTTGGATAGCTCTAATGATTTCGTTGGAAACGGGAATATCATCATCTAAAATCTAGACAGAAGCCCTCTCAGAAACTACTTTGTGATATCTGCATTCAAGTCACAGAGTTGAACATTCGCTTTCTTAGAGCACGTTTGAAACACTCTTTTTGTAGTGTCTGGAAGTGGACATTTGGAGCGCTTTGATGGCTTTGGTGAAAAAGGGAATGTCTTCCCATAAAAACTAGACAGAAGCATTCTCAGAAACTTGTTTGTGATGTGTGTACCCAGCTAAAGGAGTTGAACATTTCTATTGATAGAGCAGTTTTTAAACACTCTTTTTGTGGAAAATGCAAGTGGATATTTGGATAGCTTGGAGGATTTCGTTGGAAGCGGGAATTCAAATAAAAGGTAGACAGCAGCATTCTCAGAAATTTCCTTCTGATGTCTGCATTCAACTCATAGAGTTGAAGACTCCCTTTCATAAAGCAGGTTTGAAACACTCTTTCTGGAGTATCTGGATGTGGACATTTGGAGCGCTTGGATGCCTACGGTGAAAAAGTAAATATCTTCCCATAAAAACGAGACAGAAGGATTCTGAGAAACAAGTTTGTGATGGGCGTACTCAGCTAACAGAGTGGAACCTCTCTTTTGATGCAGCAGTTTGGAAAAACTCTTTTTGTAGAAACTGTAAGTGGATATTTGGATAGCTCTAATGATTTCGTTGGAAACGGGAATATCATCATCTAAAATCTAGACAGAAGCCCTCTCAGAAACTACTTTGTGATATCTGCATTCAAGTCACAGAGTTGAACATTCGCTTTCTTAGAGCACGTTGGAAACACTCTTTTTGTAGTGTCTGGAAGTGGACATTTGGAGCGCTTTGATTCCTTTGGTGAAAAAGGGAATGTCTACCCATAAAAACTAGACAGAAGCATTCTCAGAAACTTGTTTGTGATGTGTGTACCCACCCAAAGGAGTTGAACATTTCTATTGATAGAGCAGTTTTGAAACACTCTTTTTGTGGAAAATGCAGGTGGATATTTGGATAGCTTGGAGGATTTCGTTGGAAGCGGGAATTCAAATAAAAGTTAGACAGCAGCATTCTCAGAAATTTCTTTCTGATGTCTGCATTCAACTCATATAGTTGAAGATTCCCTTTCATAGAGCAGGTTTGAAACACTCGTTCTGGAGTATCCGGATGTGGACATTTGGAGCGCTTTGATGCCTACGGTGGAAAAGTAAATATCTTCCCATAAAAACGAGACAGAAGGATTCTCAGAAACAAGTTTGTGATGTGTGTACTCAGCTAACAGAGTGGAACCTTTCTTTTTACAGAGCAGCTTTGAAACTCTATTGTTGTGGATTCTGCAAATTGATATTTAGATTGCTTTAACGATATCGTTGGAAAAGGGAATACCGTCATACAAAATCTAGACAGAAGCATTCTCACAAACTTCTTTGTGATGTGTGTCCTCAACTAACAGAGTTGAACCTTTCTTTTGATGCAGCAATTTGGAAACACCCTTTTGGTAGAAACTGTAACTGGATATTTGGATAGCTCTAACGATTTCGTTGGAAACGGGAATATCATCATCTAAAATGTAGACAGAAGCACTATTAGAAACTACTTGGTGATATCTGCATTCAAGTCACAGAGTTGAACATTCCCTTACTTCGAGCACGTTTGAAACACTCTTTTGGAAGAATCTGGAAGTGGACATTTGGAGCGCTTTGATGCCTTTGGTGAAAAGGAAACGTCTTCCAATAAAAGCCAGACAGAAGCATTCTCAGAAACTTGTTCGTGATGTGTGTACTCAACTAAAAGAGTTGAACCTTTCTATTGATAGAGCAGTTTTGAAACACTCTTTTTGTGGATTCTGCAAGTGGATATTTGGATTGCTTTGAGGATTTCGTTGGAAGCGGGAATTCGTATAAACACTAGACAGCAGCATTCCCAGAAATTTCTTTCGGATATTTCCATTCAACTCATAGAGATGAACATGGCCTTTCATAGAGCAGGTTTGAAACACTCTTTTTATAGTTTGTGGAAGTGGACATTTCGATCGCCTTGACGCCTACGGTGAAAAAGGAAATATCTTCCCATAAAAAATAGACAGAAGCATTCTCAGAAACTTGTTGGTGATATGTGTCCTCAACTAACAGAGTTGAACTTTGCCATTGATAGAGAGCAGTTTTGAAACACTCTTTTTGTGGAATCTGCAAGTGGATATTTGGATAGCTTGGAGGATTTCGTTGGAAGCGGGAATTCAAATAAAAGGTAGACAGCAGCATTCTCAGAAATTTCTTTCTGATGTCTGCATTCAACTCATAGAGTTGAAGATTCCCTTTCATAGAGCAGGTTTGAAACACTCTTTCTGGAGTATCTGGATGAGGACATTTGGAGCGCTTTGATGCCTACGGTGAAAAAGTAAATATCTTCCCATAAAAACGAGACAGAAGGATTCTCAGAAACAAGTTTGTGATGTGTGTACTCAGCTAACAGAGTGGAACCTCTCTTTTGATGCAGCAGTTTGGAAACACTCTTTTTGTAGAAACTGTAAGTGGATATTTGGATAGCTCTAATGATTTCGTTGGAAACGGGAATATCATCATCTAAAATCTAGACAGAAGCACTCTCAGAAACTACTTTGTGATATCTGCATTCAAGTCACAGAGTTGAACATTCGCTTTCTTAGAGCACGTTTGAAACACTCTTTTTGTAGTGTCTGGAAGTGGACATTTGGAGCGCTTTGATTGCCTTTGGTGAAAAAGGGAATGTCTACCCATAAAAACTAGACAGAAGCTTTCTCAGAAACTTGTTTGTGATGTGTGTACCCAGCGAAAGGAGTTGAACATTTCTATTGATAGAGCAGTTTTGAAACACTCTTTTTGTGGAATCTGCAAGTGGATATTTGGATAGCTTGGAGGTTTTCGTTGGAAGCGGGAATTCAAATAAAAGGTAGACAGCAGCATTCTCAGAAATTTCTTTCTGATGTCTGCATTCAACTCATAGAGTTGAAGATTCCCTTTCATAGAGCAGGTTTGAAACACTCGTTCTGGAGTATCTAGATGTGGACATTTGGAGCGCTTTGATGCCTACGGTGGAAAAGTATATATCTTCCCATAAAAACGAGACAGAAGGATTCTCAGAAACAAGTTTGTGATGTGTGTACTCAGCTAACAGAGCGGAACCTTTCTTTTTACAGAGCAGCTTTGAAACTCTATTTTTGTGGATTCTGCAAATTGATATTTAGATTTCTTTAACGATATCGTTGGAAAAGGGAATATGGTCATACAAAATCTAGACAGAAGCATTCTCACAAACATCTTTGTGATGTGTGTCCTCAACTAACAGAGTTGAACCTTCCTTTTGATGCAGCAGTTTGGAAACACTCTTTTTGTAGAAACTGTAAGTGGATATTTGGATAGATTTAACGATTTCATTGGAAACGGGAATATCATCATCTAAAATCTAGACAGAAGCACTATTAGAAACTACTTGGTGATATCTGCATTCAAGTCACAGAGTTGAACATTCCCTTACTTTGAGCACGTTTGAAACACTCTTTTGGAAGAATCTGGAAGTGGACATTTGGAGCGCTTTGATGCCTTTGGTGAAAAGGAAACGTCTTCCAATAAAAGCCAGACAGAAGCATTCTCAGAAACTTGTTCGTGATGTGTGTACTCAACTAAAAGAGTTGAACCTTTCTATTGATAGAGCAGTTTTGAAACACTCTTTTTGTGGATTCTGCAAGTGGATATTTGGATTGCTTTGAGGATTTCGTTGGAAGCGGGAATTCGTATAAACACTAGACAGCAGCATTCCCAGAAATTTCTTTCGGATATTTCCATTCAAATCATAGAGATGAACATGGCCTTTCATAGAGCAGGTTTGAAACACTCTTTTTGTAGTTTGTGGAAGTGGACATTTCGATCGCCTTGACGCCTACGGTGAAAAAGGAAATATCTTCCCATAAAAAATAGACAGAAGCATTCTCAGAAACTTCTTGGTGATATGTGTCCTCAACTAACAGAGTTGAACTTTGCCATTGATAGAGAGCAGTTTTGAAACACTCTTTTTGTGGAATCTGCAAGTGGATATTTGGATAGCTTGGAGGATTTCGTTGGAAGCGGGAATTCAAATAAAAGGTAGACAGCAGCATTCTCAGAAATTTCTTTCTGATGTCTGCATTCAACTCATAGAGTTGAACATTCCCTTTCATAGAGCAGGTTTGAAACACTCTTTCTGGAGTATCTGGATGTGGACATTTGGAGCGCTTTGATGCCTACGGTGAAAAAGTAAATATCTTCCCATAAAAACGAGACAGAAGGATTCTGAGAAACAAGTTTGTGATGTGTGTACTCAGCTAACAGAGTGGAACCTCTCTTTTGATGCAGCAGTTTGGAAACACTCTTTTTGTAGAAACTGTAAGTGGATATTTGGATAGCTCTAATGATTCCGTTGGAAACGGGAATATCATCATCTAAAATCTAGACAGAAGCCCTCTCAGAAACTACTTTGTGATATCTGCATTCAAGTCACAGAGTTGAACATTCGCTTTCTTAGAGCACGTTGGAAACACTCTTTTTGTAGTGTCTGGAAGTGGACATTTGGAGCGCTTTGATGCCTTTGGTGAAAAAGGGAACGTCTTCCCATAAAAACTAGACAGAAGCATTCTCAGAAACTTGTTTGTGATGTGTGTACCCAGCCAAAGGAGTTGAACATTTCTATTGATAGAGCAGTTTTGAAACACTCTTTTTGTGGAAAATGCAAGTGGATATTTGGATAGCTTGGAGGATTTCGTTGGACGCGGGAATTCAAATAAAAGGTAGACAGCAGCATTCTCAGAAATTTCTTTCTGATGTCTGCATTCAACTCATAGAGGTTGAAGATTCCCTTTCATAGAGCAGGTTTGAAACACTCGTTCTGGAGTATCTGGATGTGGACATTTGGAGCGCTTTGATGCCTACGGTGGAAAAGTAAATATCTTCCCATAAAAACGAGACAGAAGGATTCTGAGAAACAAGTTTGTGATGTGTGTACTCAGCTAACAGAGTGGAACCTTTCTTTTTACAGAGCAGCTTTGAAACTCTATTTTTGTGGATTCTGCAAATGGATATTTAGATTGCTTTAACGATATCGTTGGAAAAGGGAATATCGTCATACAAAATGCTAGACAGAAGCATTCTCACAAACTTCTTTGTGATGTGTGTCCTCAACTAACAGAGTTGAACCTTTCTTTTGATGCAGCAATTTGGAAACACCCTTTTGGTAGAAACTGTAACTGGATATTTGGATAGCTCTAACGATTTTGTTGGAAACGGGAATATCATCATCTAAAATCTAGACAGAAGCACTATTAGAAACTACTTGGTGATATCTGCATTCAAGTCACAGAGTAGAACATTCCCTTACTTCGAGCACGTTTGAAACACTCTTTTGGAAGAATCTGGAAGTGGACATTTGGAGCGCTTTGATGCCTTTGG
Source organism: Homo sapiens (assembly GCF_000001405.40). NCBI lineage: Eukaryota > Metazoa > Chordata > Mammalia > Primates > Hominidae > Homo > Homo sapiens. The sequence continues at coordinate 17,731,400 of NC_000014.9, forward strand.
TGAAAAGGAAACGTCTTCCAATAAAAGCCAGACAGAAGCATTCTCAGAAACTTGTTGGTGATGTGTGTACTCAACTAAAAGAGTTGAACCTTTCTATTGATAGAGCAGTTTTGAAACACTCTTTTTGTGGATTCTGCAAGTGGATATTTGGATTGCTTTGAGGATTTCGTTGGAAGCGGGAATTCATATAAAAACTAGACAGCAGCATTTCCAGAAATTTCTTTCGGATATTTCCATTCAACTCATAGAGATGAACATGGCCTTTCATAGAGCAGGTTTGAAACACTCTTTTTGTAGTTTGTGGAAGTGGACATTTCGATCGCCCTGATGCCTATGGTGAAAAAGGAAATATCTTCTCATAAAAAATAGACAGAAGCATTCTCAGAAACTTGTTGGTGATATGTGTCCTCAACTAACAGAGTTGATCTTTGCCATTGATAGAGAGCAGTTTTGAAACACTCTTTTTGTGGAATCTGCAAGTGGATATTTGGATAGCTTGGAGGATTTCGTTGGAAGCGGGAATTCAAATAAAAGGTAGACAGCAGCATTCTCAGAAATTTCTTTCTGATGTCTGCATTCAACTCATAGAGTTGAAGATTCCCTTTCTTAGAGCAGGTTTGAAACACTCTTTCTGGAGTATCTGGATGTGGACATTTGGAGCGCTTGGATGCCTACGGTGAAAAAGTAAATATCTTCCCATAAAAACGAGACAGAAGGATTCTGAGAAACAAGTTTGTGATGTGTGTACTCAGCTAACAGAGTGGAACCTCTCTTTTGATGCAGCAGTTTGGAAACACTCTTTTTGTAGAAACTGTAAGTGGATATTTGGATAGCTCTAATGATTTCGTTGGAAACGGGAATATCATCATCTAATATCTAGACAGAAGCCCTCTCAGAAACTACTTTGTGATATCTGCATTCAACTCACAGAGTTGAACATTCGGTTTCTTAGAGCACGTTTGAAACACTCTTTTTGTAGTGTCTGGAAGTGGACATTTGGAGCGCTTTGATGCCTTTGGTGAAAAAGGGAACGTCTTCCCATAAAAACTAGACAGAAGCTTTCTCAGAAACTTGTTTTTGATGTGTGTACCCAGCGAAAGGAGTTGAACATTTCTATTGATAGAGCAGTTTTGAAACACTCTTTTTGTGGAATCTGCAAGTGGATATTTGGATAGCTTGGAGGTTTTCGTTGGAAGCGGGAATTCAAATAAAAGGTAGACAGCAGCATTCTCAGAAATTTCTTTCTGATGTCTGCATTCAACTCATAGAGTTGAAGATTCCCTTTCATAGAGCAGGTTTGAAACACTCTTTCTGGAGTATCTGGATGTGGACATTTGCAGCGCTTTGATGCCTACGGTGAAAAAGTAAATATCTTCCCATAAAAACGAGACAGAAGGATTCTGAGAAACAAGTCTGTGATGTGTGTACTCAGCTAACAGAGTGGAACCTTTCTTTTTACAGAGCAGCTTTGAAACTCTATTTTTGTGGATTCTGCAAATTGATATTTAGATTGCTTTAACGATATCGTTGGAAAAGGGAATATCGTCATACAAAATCTAGACAGAAGCATTCTCACAAACTTCTTTGTGATGTGTGTCCTCAACTAACAGAGTTGAACCTTTCTTTTGATGCAGCAATTTGGAAACACCCTTTTGGTAGAAACTGTAAGTGGATATTTGGATAGCTCTAACGATTTCATTGGAAACGGGAATATCATCATCTAAAATCTAGACAGAAGCACTATTAGAAACTACTTGGTGATATCTGCATTCAAGTCACAGAGTTGAACATTCCCTTACTTCGACCACGTTTGAAACACTCTTTTGGAAGAATCTGGAAGTGGACATTTGGAGCGCTTTGATGCCTTTGGTGAAAAGGAAACGTCTTCCAATAAATGCCAGACAGAAGCATTCTCAGAAACTTGTTCGTGATGTGTGTACTCAACTAAAAGAGTTGAACCTTTCTATTGATAGAGCAGTTTTGAAACACTCTTTTTGTGGATTCTGCAAGTGGATATTTGGATTGCTTTGAGGATTTCGTTGGAAGCGGGAATTCGTATAAACACTAGACAGCAGCATTCCCAGAAATTTCTTTCGGATATTTCCATTCAACTCATAGAGATGAACATGGCCTTTCATATTGAAACACTCTTTTTGTAGTTTGTGGAAGTGGACATTTCGATCGCCTTGACGCCTACGGTGAAAAAGGAAATATCTTCCCATAAAAAATAGACAGAAGCATTCTCAGAAACTTGTTGGTGATATGTGTCCTCAACTAACAGAGTTGAACTTTGCCATTGATAGAGAGCAGTTTTGAAACACTCTTTTTGTGGAATCTGCAAGTGGATATTTGGATAGCTTGGAGGATTTCGTTGGAAGCGGGAATTCAAATAAAAGGTAGACAGCAGGATTCTCAGAAACAAGTTTGTGATGTGTGTACTCAGCTAGCAGAGTGGAACCTTTCTTTTTACAGAGCAGCTTTGAAACTCTATTTTTGTGGATTCTGCAAATTGATATTTAGATTGCTTTAACGATATCGTTGGAAAAGGGAATATCATCATACAAAATCTAGACAGAAGCTTTCTCAGAAACTTCTTTGTGATGTGTGTCCTCAACTAACAGAGTTGAAACTTTCTGTTGATGCAGCAGTTTGGAAACACTCTTTTTGTAGAAACTGTAAGTGGATATTTGGGTAGGTCTAACGATATCGTTGGAAACGGGAATATCTTCATCTAACGTATACACAGAAGCACTATTAGAAACTACTTGGTGATATCTGCATTCAAGTCACAGAGTAGAACATTCCCTTACTTCGAGCACGTTTGAAACACTCTTTTGGAAGAATCTGGAAGTGGACATTTGGAGCGCTTTGATGCCTTTGGTGAAAAGGAAACGTCTTCCAATAAAAGACAGACAGAAGCATTCTCAGAAACTTGTTTGTGATGTGTGTACTCAACTAAAAGAGTTGAACCTTTCTATTGATAGAGCAGTTTTGAAACACTCTTTTTGTGGATTCTGCAAGTGGATATTTGGATTGCTTTGAGGATTTCGTTGGAAGCGGGAATTCATATAAAAACTAGACAGCAGCATTCCCAGAAATTTCTTTCGGATATTTCCATTCGACTCATAGAGATGAACATGGCCTTTCATAGAGCAGGTTTGAAACACTCTTTTTGTAGTTTGTGGAAGTGGACATTTCGATCGCCTTGACGCCTACGGTGAAAAAGGAAATATCTTCCCATAAAAAATAGACAGAAGCATTCTCAGAAACTTGTTTGTGATGTGTGTACCCAGCCAAAGGAGTTGAACATTTCTATTGATAGAGCAGTTTTGAAACACTCTTTTTGTGGAAAATGCAGGTGGATATTTGGATAGCTTGGAGGATTTCGTTGGAAGCGGGAATTCATATAAAAACTAGACAGCAGCATTCCCAGAAATTTCTTTCTGATGTCTGCATTCAACTCATAGAGTTGAAGATTCCCTTTCATAGAGCAGGTTTGAAACACTCGTTCTGGAGTATCTGGATGTGGACATTTGGAGCGCTTTGATGCCTACGGTGGAAAAGTAAATATCTTCCCATAAAAACGAGACAGAAGGATTCTCAGAAACATGTTTGTGATGTGTGTACTCAGCTAACAGAGTGGATCCTTTCTTTTTACAGAGCAGCTTTGAAACTCTATTTCTGTGGATTCTGCAAATTGATATTTGGGTTGATTTAACGATATCTTTGGAAAAGGGAATATCTTCATACAAAATCTAGAGAGAAGCATTCTCACAAACTTCTTTGTGATGTGTGTCCTCAACTAACAGAGTTGAACCTTTCTTTTGATGCATCAGTTTGGAAACACTCTTTTTGTAGAAACTGTAAGTGGATATTTGGATAGCTCTAACGATTTCGTTGGAAACGGGAATATCATCATCTAAAATCTAGACAGAAGCACTATTAGAAACTACTTGGTGATATCTGCATTCAAGTCACAGAGTTGAACATTCCCTTACTTTGAGCACGTTTCAAACACTCTTTTGGAAGAATCTGGAAGTGGACATTTGGAGCGCTTTGATGCCTTTGGTGAAAAGGAAACGTCTTCCAATAAAAGCCAGACAGAAGCATTCTCAGAAACTTGTTTGTGATGTGTGTACTCAACTAAAAGAGTTGAACCTTTCTATTGATAGAGCAGTTTTGAAACACTCTTTTTGTGGATTCTGCAAGTGGATATTTGGATTGCTTTGAGGATTTCGTTGGAAGCGGGAATTCGTATAAAAACTAGACAGCCAGCATTCCCAGAAATTTCTTTCGGATATTTCCATTCAACTCATAGAGATGAACATGGCCTTTCATAGAGCAGGTTTGAAACACTCTTTTTGTAGTTTGTGGAAGTGGACATTTCGATCGCCTTGACGCCTACGGTGAAAAAGGAAATATCTTCCCATAAACAATAGACAGAGCATTCTCAGAAACTTGTTGGTGATATGTGTCCTCAACTAACAGAGTTGAACTTTGCCATTGATAGAGAGCAGTTTTGAAACACTCTTTTTGTGGAATCTGCAAGTGGATATTTGGATAGCTTGGAGGATTTCGTTGGAAGCGGGAATTCAAATAAAAGGTAGACAGCAGCATTCTCAGAAATTTCTTTCTGATGTCTGCATTCAACTCATAGAGTTGAAGATTCCCTTTCATAGAGCAGGTTTGAAACACTCTTTCTGGAGTATCTGGATGTGGACATTTGGAGCGCTTTGATGCCTACGGTGAAAAAGTAAATATCTTCCCAGAAAAACGAGACAGAAGGATTCTGAGAAACAAGTTTGTGATGTGTGTACTCAGCTAACAGAGTGGAACCTCTCTTTTGATCCAGCAGTTTGGAAACACTCTTTTTGTAGAAACTGTAAGTGGATATTTGGATAGCTCTAATGATTTCGTTGGAAACGGGAATATCATCATCTAAAATCTAGACAGAAGCCCTCTCAGAAACTACTTTGTGATATCTGCATTCAAGTCACAGAGTTGAACATTCGCTTTCGTAGAGCACGTTGGAAACACTCTTTTTGTAGTGTCTGGAAGTGGACATTTGGAGCGCTTTGATGCCTTTGGTGAAAAAGGGAATGTCTTCCCATAAAAACTAGACAGAAGCATTCTCAGAAACTTGTTTGTGATCTGTGTACCCAGCGAAAGGAGTTGAACATTTCTATTGATAGAGCAGTTTTGAAACACTCTTTTTGTGGAATCTGCAAGTGGATATTTGGATAGCTTGGAGTTTTTCGTTGGAAGCGGGAATTCAAATAAAAGCTAGACAGCAGCATTCTGAGAAATTTCTTTCTGATGTCTGCATTCAACTCATAGAGTTGAAGATTCCCTTTCATAGAGCAGGTTTGAAACACTCTTTCTGGAGTATCTGGATGTGGACATTTGGAGCGCTTTGATGCCTACGGTGAAAAAGTAAATATCTTCCCATAAAAACGAGACAGAAGGATTCTCAGAAACAAGTTTGTGATGTGTGTACTCAGCTAACAGAGTGGAACCTCTCTTTTGATGCAGCAGTTTGGAAACACTCTTTTTGTGGAAACTGTAAGTGGATATTTGGATAGCTCTAATGATTTCGTTGGAAACGGGAATATCATCATCTAAAACCTAGACAGAAGCCCTCTCAGAAACTACTTTGTGATATCTGCATTCAAGTAACAGAGTTGAACATTCGGTTTCCTAGAGCACGTTTGAAACACTCTTTTCGTAGTGTCAGGAAGTGGACATTTGGAGCGCTTTGATGCCTTTGGTGAAAAAGGGAATGTCTTCCCATAAAAACTAGACAGAAGCATTCTCAGAAACTTGTTTGTGATGTGTGTACCCAGCAAAAGGAGTTGAACATTTCTATTGATAGAGCAGTTTTGAAACACTCTTGTTGTGGAAAATGCAGGTGGATATTTGGATAGCTTGGAGGATTTCGTTGGAAGCGGGAATTCAAATAAAAGGTAGACAGCAGCATTCTCAGAAATTTCTTTCTGATGTCTGCATTCAACTCATAGAGTTGAAGATTCCCTTTCATAGAGCAGGTTTGAAACACTCGTTCTGGAGTATCTGGATGTGGACATTTGGAGCGCTTTGATGCCTACGGTGGAAAAGTAAATATCTTCCCATAAAAACGAAACAGAAGGATTCTCAGAAACAAGTTTGTGATGTGTGTACTCAGCTAACAGAGTGGAACCTTTCTTTTTACAGAGCAGCTTTGAAACTCTGTTTTTGTGGATTCTGCAAATTGATATTTAGATTGCTTTAACGATATCGTTGGAAAAGGGAATATCGTCATACAAAATCTAGACAGAAGCATTCTCACAAACTTCTTTGTGATGTGTGTCCTCAACTAACAGAGTTGAACCTTTCTTTTGATGCAGCAGTTTGGAAACACTGTTTTTGTAGCAACTGTAAGTGGATATTTGGATAGCTCTAACGATTTCGTTGGAAACGGGAATATCATCATCTAAAATCTAGACAGAAGCACTATTAGAAACTACTTGGTGATATCTGCATTCAAGTCACAGAGTTGAACATTCCCTTACTTTGAGCACGTTTCAAACACTCTTTTGGAAGAATCTGGAAGTGGACATTTGGAGCGCTTTGATGCCTTTGGTGAAAAGGGAAACGTCTTCCAAAAAAAGCCAGACAGAAGCATTCTCAGAAACTTGTTTGTGATGTGTGTACTCAACTAAAAGAGTTGAACCTTTCTATTGATAGAGCAGTTTTGAAACACTCTTTTTGTGGATTCTGCAAGTGGATATTTGGATTGCTTTGAGGATTTCGTTGGAAGCGGGAATTCGTATAAAAACTAGACAGCAGCATTCCCAGAAATTTCTTTCGGATATTTCCATTCGACTCATAGAGATGAACATGGCCTTTCATAGAGCAGGTTTGAAACACTCTTTTTGTAGTTTGTGGAAGTGGACATTTCGATCGCCTTGACGCCTACGGTGAAAAAGGAAATATCTTCCCATAAAAAATAGACAGAAGAATTCTCAGAAACTTGTTTGTGATGTGTATCCTCAACTGACAGAGTTGAACCTTGCCATTGATAGAGCAGTTTAGAAACACTGTTTTTGTGGAATCTGCAAGTGGATATTTGGATAGCCTGGAGGATTTCGTTGGAAGCGGGAATTCAAATAAAAGGTAGACAGCAGCATTCTCAGAAATTTCTTTGTGATGTTTGCATTCAACTCATAGAGTTGAACATTCCCTTTCATAGAGCAGGTTTGAAACACTCTTTCTGTACTATCTAGATGTGGACATTTGGAACGCTTTGATGCCTACGGTGGAAAAGTAAATATCTTCCCATAAAAGCTAGACAGAAGGATTCTCAGAAACAAGTTTGTGATGTGTGTTCTCAGCTAACAGAGTGGAACCTCTCTTTTCATGCAGCAGTTTGGAAACACTCTTTTTGTAGAAACTGTAAGTGGATATTTGGATAGCTCTAATGATTTCGTTGGAAACGGGAATATCATCATCTAAAATCTAGACAGAAGCCCTCTCAGAAACTACTTTGTGATATCTGCATTCAAGTCACAGAGTTGAACATTCGCTTTCTAAGAGCACGTTTGAAACACTCTTTTTGTAGTGTCTGGAAGTGGACATTTGGAGCGCTTTGATGCCTTTGGTGAAAAAGGGAACGTCTTCCCATAAAAACTAGACAGAAGCATTCTCAGAAACTTGTTTGTGATGTGTGTACCCAGCCAAAGGAGTTGAAGATTTCTATTGATAGAGCAGTTTTGAAACACTCTTGTTGTGGAAAATGCAGGTGGATATTTGGATAGCTTGGAGGATTTCGTTGGAAGCGGGAATTCAAATAAAAGGTAGACAGCAGCATTCTCAGAAATTTCTTTCTGATGTCTGCATTCAACTCATAGAGTTGAAGATTCCCTTTCATAGAGCAGGTTTGAAACACTCTTTGTGGAGTATCTGGATGTGGACATATGGAGCGCTTTGATGCCTACGGTGAAAAGGTAAATATCTTCCCATAAAAACGAGACAGAAGGATTCTCAGAAACAAGTTTGTGATGTGTGTACTCAGCTAACAGAGTGGATCCTTTCTTTTTAAAGAGCAGCTTTGAAACTCTATTTCTGTGGATTCTGCAAATTGATATTTGGGTTGATTTAACAATATCGTTGGAAAAGGGAATATCTTCATACAAAATCTAGACAGAAGCATTCTCACAAACTTCTTTGTGATGTGTGTCCTCAACTAACAGAGTTGAACCTTTCTTTTGATGCAGCAGTTTGGAAACACTCTTTTTGTAGAAACTGTAAGGGGATATTTGGATAGCTCTAACGATTTCGTTGGAAACGGGAATATCATCATCTAAAATCTAGACAGAAGCACTATTAGAAACTACTTGGTGATATCTGCATTCAAGTCACAGAGTTGAACATTCCCTTACTTTGAGCACGTTTCAAACACTCTTTTGGAAGAATCTGGAAGTGGACATTTGGAGCGCTTTGATGCCTTTGGTGAAAAGGAAACGTCTTCCAATAAAAGCCAGACAGAAGCATTCTCAGAAACTTGTTTGTGATGTGTGTACTCAACTAAAAGAGTTGAACCTTTCTATTGATAGAGCAGTTTTGAAACACTCTTTTTGTGGATTCTGCAAGTGGATATTTAGATTGCTTTGAGGATTTCGTTGGAAGCGGGAATTCGTATAAAAACTAGACAGCAGCATTCCCAGAAATTTCTTTCGGATATTTCCATTCAACTCATAGAGATGAACATGGCCTTTCATAGAGCAGGTTTGAAACACTCTTTTTGTAGTTTGTGGAAGTGGACATTTCGATCGCCTTGACGCCTACGGTGAAAAAGGAAATATCTTCCCATAAAAAATAGACAGGAGCATTCTCAGAAACTTGTTGGTGATATGTGTCCTCAACTAACAGAGTTGAACTTTGCCATTGATAGAGAGCAGTTTTGAAACACTCTTTTTGTGGAATCTGCAAGTGGATATTTGGATAGCTTGGAGGATTTCGTTGGAAGCGGGAATTCAAATAAAAGGTAGACAGCAGCATTCTCAGAAATTTCTTTCTGATGTCTGCATTCAACTCATAGAGTTGAAGATTCCCTTTCATAGAGCAGGTTTGAAACACTCTTTCTGGAGTGTCTGGATGTGGACATTTGGAGCGCTTTGATGCCTACGGTGAAAAAGTAAATATCTTCCCATAAAAACGAGACAGAAGGATTCTGAGAAACAAGTTTGTGATGTGTGTACTCAGCTAACAGAGTGGAACCTCTCTTTTGATGCAGCAGTTTGGAAACACTCTTTTTGTAGAAACTGTAAGGGGATATTTGGATAGCTCTAATGATTTCGTTGGAAACGGGAATATCATCATCTAAAATCTAGACAGAAGCCCTCTCAGAAACTACTTTGTGATATCTGCATTCAAGTCACAGAGTTGAATATTCGCTTTCTTAGAGCACGTTTGAAACCCTCTTTTTGTAGTGTCTGGAAGTGGACATTTGGAGCGCTTTGATGCCTTTGGTGAAAAAGGGAATGTCTTCCCATAAAAACTAGACAGAAGCATTCTCAGAAACTTGTTTGTGATGTGTGTACCCAGCTAAAGGAGTTGAACATTTCTATTGATAGAGCAGTTTTGAAACACTCTTTTTGTGGAAAATGCAAGTGGATATTTGGATAGCTTGGAGGATTTCGTTGGAAGAGGGAATTCAAATAAAAGGTAGACAGCAGCATTCTCAGAAATTTCTTTCTGATGTCTGCATTCAACTCATAGAGTTGAAGATTCCCTTTCATAGAGCAGGTTTGAAACACTCTTTCTGGAGTATCTGGATGTGGACATTTGGAGCGCTTTGATGCCTACGGTTAAAAAGTAAATATCTTCCCATAAAAACGAGACAGAAGGATTCTCAGAAACAAGTTTGTAATGTGTGTACTCAGCTAACACAGTGGAACCTTTCTTTTTACAGAGCAGCTTTGAAACTCTATTGTTGTGGATTCTGCAAATTGATATTTAGATTGCTTTAACGATATCGTTGGAAAAGGGAATACCGTCATACAAAATCTAGACAGAAGCATTCTCACAAACTTCTTTGTGATGTGTGTCCTCAACTAACAGAGTTGAACCTTTCTTTTGATGCAGCAATTTGGAAACACCCTTTTGGTAGAAACTGTAACTGGATATTTGGATAGCTCTAACGATTTCGTTGGAAAAGGGAATATCATCATCTAAAATGTAGGCAGAAGCACTATTAGAAACTACTTGGTGATATCTGCATTCAAATCACAGAGTAGAACATTCCCTTACTTCGAGCACGTTTGAAACACTCTTTTGGAAGAATCTGGAAGTGGACATTTGGAGCGCTTTGATGCCTTTGGTGAAAAGGAAACGTCTTCCAATAAAAGCCAGACAGAAGCATTCTCAGAAACTTGTTCGTGATGTGTGTACTCAACTAAAAGAGTTGAACCTTTCTATTGATAGAGCAGTTTTGAAACACTCTTTTTCTGGATTCTGCAAGTGGATATTTGGATTGCTTTGAGGATTTCGTTGGAAGCGGGAATTCATATAAAAACTAGACAGCCAGCATTCCCAGAAATTTCTTTCGGATATTTCCATTCAACTCATAGAGATGAACATCGCCTTTCATAGAGCAGGTTTGAAACACTCTTTTTGTAGTTTGTGGAAGTGGACATTTCGATCGCCTTGACGCCTACGGTGAAAAAGGAAATATCTTCCCATAAACAATAGACAGAGCATTCTCAGAAACTTGTTGGTGATATGTGTCCTCAACTAACAGAGTTGAACTTTGCCATTGATAGAGAGCAGTTTTGAAACACTCTTTTTGTGGAATCTGCAAGTGGATATTTGGATAGCTTGGAGGATTTCGTTGGAAGCGGGAATTCAAATAAAAGGTAGACAGCAGGATTCTGAGAAACAAGTTTGTGATGTGTGTACTCAGCTAACAGAGTGGAACCTCTCTTTTGATCCAGCAGTTTGGAAACACTCTTTTTGTAGAAACTGTAAGTGGATATTTGGATAGCTCTAACGATTTCGTTGGAAACGGGAATATCATCATCTAAAATCTAGACAGAAGCATTCTCACAAACTTCTTTGTGATGTGTGTCCTCAACTAACAGAGTTGAACCTTTCTTTTGATGCAGCAATTTGGAAACACCCTTTTGGTAGAAACTGTAAGTGGATATTTGGATAGCTCTAACGATTTCGTTGGAAACGGGAATATCATCATCTAAAATCTAGACAGAAGCACTATTAGAAACTACTTGGTGATATCTGCATTCAAGTCACAGAGTTGAACATTCCCTTACTTTGAGCACGTTTCAAACACTCTTTTGGAAGAATCTGGAAGTGGACATTTGGAGCGCTTTGATGCCTTTGGTGAAAAGGAAACGTCTTCCAATAAAAGCCAGACAGAAGCATTCTCAGAAACTTGTTTGTGATGTGTGTACTCAACTAAAAGAGTTGAACCTTTCTATTGATAGAGCAGTTTTGCAACACTCTTTTTGTGGATTCTGCAAGTGGATATTTGGATTGCTTTGAGGATTTCGTTGGAAGCGGGAATTCATATAAAAACTAGACAGCAGCATTCCCAGAAATTTCTTTCGGATATTTCCATTCAACTCATAGAGATGAACATGGCCTTTCATAGAGCAGGTTTGAAACACTCTTTTTGTAGTTTGTGGAAGTGGACATTTCGATCGCCTTGACGCCTACGGTGAAAAAGGAAATATCTTCCCATAAAAAATAGACAGATAAGCATTCTCAGAAACTTGTTGGTGATATGTGTCCTCAACTAACAGAGTTGAACTTTGCCATTGATAGAGAGCAGTTTTGAAACACTCTTTTTGTGGAATCTGCAAGTGGATATTTGGATAGCTTGGAGGATTTCGTTGGAAGCGGGAATTCAAATTAAAGGTAGACAGCAGCATTCTCAGAAATTTCTTTCTGATGTCTGCATTCAACTCATAGAGTTGAAGATTCCCTTTCATAGAGCAGGTTTGAAACACTCTTTCTGGAGTATCTGGATGTGGACATTTGGAGCGCTTTGATGCCTACGGTAAAAAGTAAATATCTTCCCATAAAAACGAGACAGAAGGATTCTGAGAAACAAGTTTGTGATGTGTGTACTCAGCTAACAGAGTGGAACCTTTCTTTTTACAGAGCAGCTTTGAAACTCTATTTTTGTGGATTCTGCAAATGGATATTTAGATTGCTTTAATGATATCGTTGGAAAAGGGAATATCGTCATACAAAATCTAGACAGAAGCATTCTCACAAACTTCTTTGTGATGTGTGTCCTCAACTAACAGAGTTGAACCTGTCTTTTGATGCAGCAATTTGGAAGCACCCTTTTGGTAGAAACTGTAACTGGATATTTGGATAGCTCTAACGATTTCGTTGGAAACGGGAATATCATCATCTAAAATGTAGACAGAAGCACTATTAGAAACTACTTGTTGATATCTGCATTCAAGTCACAGAGTTGAGCATTCCCTTACTTTGAGCACGTTTGAAACACTCTTTTGGAAGAATCTGGAAGTGGACATTTGCAGCGCTTTGATGCCTTTGGTGAAAAGGAAACGTCTTCCAATAAAAGCCAGACAGAAGCATTCTCAGAAACTTGTTTGTGATGTGTGTACTCAACTAAAAGAGTTGAACCTTTCTATTGATAGAGCAGTTTTGAAACACTCTTTTTGTGGATTCTGCAAGTGGATATTTGGATTGCTTTGAGGATTTCGTTGGAAGCGGGAATTCGTATAAAAACTAGACAGCAGCATTCCCAGAAATTTTTTCGGATATTTCCATTCGACTCATAGAGATGAACATGGCCTTTCATAGAGCAGGTTTGAAACACTCTTTTTGTAGTTTGTGGAAGTGGACATTTCGATCGCCTTGACGCCTACGGTGAAAAAGGAAATATCTTCCCATAAAAAATAGACAGAAGCATTCTCAGAAACTTGTTGGTGATATGTGTCCTCAACTAACAGAGTTGAACTTTGCCATTGATAGAGAGCAGTTTTGAAACACTCTTTTTGTGGAATCTGCAAGTGGATATTTGGATAGCTTGGAGGATTTCGTTGGAAGCGGGAATTCAAATAAAAGGTAGACAGCAGCATTCTCAGAAATTTCTTTCTGATGTCTGCATTCAACTCATAGAGTTGAAGATTCCCTTTCATAGAGCAGGTTTGAAACACTCTGGAGTATCTGGATGTGGACATTTGGAGCGCTTTGATGCCTACGGTGAAAAAGTAAATATCTTCCCATAAAAACGAGACAGAAGGATTCTCAGAAACAAGTTTGTGATGTGTATACTCAGCTAACAGAGTGGAACCTTTCTTTTTACAGAGCAGCTTTGAAACTCTACTTTTGTGGATTCTGCAAATTGATATTTAGATTGCTTTAACGATATCGTTGGAAAAGGGAATATCGTCATACAAAATCTAGACAGAAGCATTCTCACAAACTTCTTTGTGACGTGTGTCCTCAACTAACAGAGTTGAACCTTTCTTTTGATGCAGCAGTTTGGAAACACTGTTTTTGTAGCAACTGTAAGTGGATATTTGGATAGCTCTAACGATTTCGTTGGAAACGGGAATATCGTCATCTAAAATCTAGACAGAAGCACTATTAGAAACTACTTGGTGATATCTGCATTCAAGTCACAGAGTTGAACATTCCCTTACTTTGAGCACGTTTCAAACACTCTTTTGGAAGAATCTGGAAGTGGACATTTGGAGCGCTTTGATGCCTTTGGTGAAAAGGAAACGTCTTCCAATAAAAGCCAGACAGAAGCATTCTCAGAAACTTGTTTGTGATGTGTGTACTCAACTAAAAGAGTTGAACCTTTCTATTGATAGAGCAGTTTTGAAACACTCTTTTTGTGGATTCTGCAAGTGGATATTTGGATTGCTTTGAGGATTTCGTTGGAAGCGGGAATTCGTATAAAAACTAGACAGCAGCATTCCCAGAAATTTCTTTCGGATATTTCCATTCGACTCATAGAGATGAACATGGCCTTTCATAGAGCAGGTTTGAAACACTCTTTTTGTAGTTTGTGGAAGTGGACATTTCGATCGCCTTGACGCCTACGGTGAAAAAGGAAATATCTTCCCATAAAAAATAGACAGAAGCATTCTCATAAACTTGTTGGTGATATGTGTCCTCAACTAACAGAGTTGAACTTTGCCATTGATAGAGAGCAGTTTTGAAACACTCTTTTTGTGGAATCTGCAAGTGGATATTTGGATAGCTTGGAGGATTTCGTTGGAAGCGGGAATTCAAATAAAAGGTAGACAGCAGCATTCTCAGAAATTTCTTTCTGATGTCTGCATTCAACTCATAGAGTTGAAGATTCCCTTTCATAGAGCAGGTTTGAAACACTCTTTCTGGAGTATCTGGATGTGGACATTTGGAGCGCTTTGATGCCTACGGTGAAAAAGTAAATATCTTCCCATAAAAACGAGACAGAAAGGATTCTCAGAAACAAGTTTGTGATGTGTGTACTCAGCTAACAGAGTGGAACCTCTTTTCTGATGCAGCAGTTTGGAAACACTCTTTTTGTAGAAACTGTAAGTGGATATTTGGATAGCTCTAATGATTTCGTTGGAAACGGGAATATCATCATCTAAAATCTAGACAGAAGCACTCTCAGAAACCACTGTGTGATATCTGCATTCAAGTCACAGAGTTGAACATTCGCTTTCTTAGAGCACGTTTGAAACACTCTTTTTGTAGTGTCTGGAAGTGGACATTTGGAGCGCTTTGATTCCTTTGGTGAAAAAGGGAATGTCTACCCATAAAAACTAGACAGAAGCATTCTCAGAAACTTGTTTGTGATGTGTGTACCCAGCGAAAGGAGTTGAACATTTCTATTGATAGAGCAGTTTTGAAACACTCTTTTTGTGGAATCTGCAAGTGGATATTTGGATAGCTTGGAGGTTTTTGTTGGAAGCGGGAATTCAAATAAAAGGTAGACAGCAGCATTCTCAGAAATTTCTTTCTGATGTCTGCATTCAACTCATAGAGTTGAAGATTCCGTTTCATAGAGCAGGTTTGAAACACTCTTTCTGGAGTATCTGGATGTGGACATTTGGAGCGCTTTGATGCCTACGGTGGAAAAGTAAATATCTTCCCATAAAAACGAGACAGAAGGATTCTGAGAAACAAGTTTGTGATGTGTGTACTCAGCTAACAGAGTGGAACCTTTCTTTTTACAGAGCAGCTTTGAAACTCTATTTTTGTGGATTCTGCAAATGGATATTTAGATTGCTTTAACGATATCGTTGGAAAAGGGAATATCTTCATACAAAATCTAGACAGAAGCATTCTCACAAACTTCTTTGTGATGTGTGTCCTCAACTAACAGAGTTGAACCTTTCTTTTGATGCAGCAATTTGGAAACACCCTTTTGGTAGAAACTGTAAGTGGATATTTGGATAGCTCTAACGATTTCGTTGGAAACGGGAATATCATCATCTAAAATCTAGACAGAAGCACTATTAGAAACTACTTGGTGTTATCTGCATTCAAGTCACAGAGTAGAACATTCCCTTACTTCGAGCACGTTTGAAACACTCTTTTGGAAGAATCTGGAAGTGGACATTTGGAGCGCTTTGATGCCTTTGGTGAAAAGGAAACGTCTTCCAATAAAAGCCAGACAGAAGCATTCTCAGAAACTTGTTGGTGATGTGTGTACTCAACTAAAAGAGTTGAACCTTTCTATTGATAGAGCAGTTTTGAAACACTCTTTTTGTGGATTCTGCAAGTGGATATTTGGATTGCTTTGAGGATTTCGTTGGAAGCGGGAATTCATATAAAAACTAGACAGCCAGCATTCCCAGAAATTTCTTTCGGATATTTCCATTCAACTCATAGAGATGAACATCGCCTTTCATAGAGCAGGTTTGAAACACTCTTTTTGTAGTTTGTGGAAGTGGACATTTCGATCGCCTTGACGCCTACGGTGAAAAAGGAAATATCTTCCCATAAAAAATAGACAGAAGCATTCTCAGAAACTTGTTGGTGATATGTGTCCTCAACTAACAGAGTTGAACTTTGCCATTGATAGAGAGCAGTTTTGAAACACTCTTTTTGTGGAATCTGCAAGTGGATATTTGGATAGCTTGGAGGATTTCGTTGGAAGCGGGAATTCAAATAAAAGGTAGACAGCAGCATTCTCAGAAATTTCTTTCTGATGTCTGCATTCAACTCATAGAGTTGAAGATTCCCTTTCATAGAGCAGGTTTGAAACACTCGTTCTGGAGTATCTGGATGTGGACATTTGGAGCGCTTTGATGCCTACGGTGGAAAAGTAAATATCTTCCCATAATAACGAGACAGAAGGATTCTGAGAAACAAGTTTGTGATGGGCGTACTCAGCTAACAGAGTGGAACCTCTCTTTTGATGCAGCAGTTTGGAAACACTCTTTTTGTAGAAACTGTAAGTGGATATTTGGATAGCTCTAATGATTTCGTTGGAAACGGGAATATCATCATCTAAAATCTAGACAGAAGCCCTCTCAGAAACTACTTTGTGATATCTGCATTCAAGTCACAGAGTTGAACATTCGCTTTCTTAGAGCACGTTTGAAACACTCTTTTTGTAGTGGCTGGAAGTGGACATTTGGAGCGCTTTGATTCCTTTGGTGAAAAAGGGAATGTCTACCCATAAAAACTAGACAGAAGCATTCTCAGAAACTTGTTTGTGATGTGTGTACCCAGCTAAAGGAGTTGAACGTTTCTATTGATAGAGCAGTTTTGAAACACTCTTTTTGTGGAAAATGCTAGTGGATATTTCGATAGCTTGGAGGATTTTCCTTGGAAGCGGGAATTCAAATAAAAGGTAGACAGCAGGAGTCTGAGAAACAAGTTTGTGATGTGTGTACTCAGCTAACAGAGTGGAACCTCTCTTTTGATGCAGCAGTTTGGAAACACTCTTTTTGTAGAAACTGTAAGTGGATATTTGGATAGCTCTAAAGATTTTTTTGGAAACGGGAATATCATCATCTAAAATCTAGACAGAAAGCCCTCTCAGAAACTACTTTGTGATATCTGCATTCAAGTCACAGAGTTGAACATTCGCTTTCTTAGAGCACGTTGGAAACACTCTTTTTGTAGTGTCTGGAAGTGGACATTTGGAGCGCTTTGATGCCTTTGGTGAAAAAGGGAACGTCTTCCCATAAAAACTAGACAGAAGCATTCTCAGAAACTTGTTTGTGATGTGTGTACCCAGCCAAAGGAGTTGAACATTTCTATTGATAGAGCAGTTTTGAAACACTCTTTTTGTGGAAAATGCAAGTGGATATTTGGATAGCTTGGAGGATTTCGTTGGAAGCGGGAATTCAAATAAAAGGTAGACAGCAGGATTCTGAGAAACAAGTTTGTGATGTGTGTACTCAGCTAACAGAGTGGAACCTCTCTTTTGATGCAGCAGTTTGGAAACACTCTTTTTGTAGAAACTGTAAGTGGTTATTTGGATAGCTCTAATGATTTCGTTGGAAACGGGAATATCATCATCTAAAATCTAGACAGAAGCCCTCTCAGAAACTACTTTGTGATATCTGCATTCAAGTCACAGAGTTGAACATTCGCTTTCTTAGAGCACGCTGGAAACACTCTTTTTGTAGTGTCTGGAAGTGGACATTTGGAGCGCTTTGATGCCTTTGGTGAAAAAGGGAACGTCTTCCCATAAAAACTAGACAGAAGCATTCTCAGAAACTTGTTTGTGATGTGTGCACCCAGCTAAAGGAGTTGAACATTTCTATTGATAGAGCAGTTTTGAAGCACTCTTTTTGTGGAAAATGCAAGTGGATATTTGGATAGCTTGGAGGATTTCGTTGGAAGCGGGAGTTCAAATAAAAGGTAGACAGCAGCATTCTCAGAAATTTCTTTCTGATGTCTGCATTCAACTCATAGAGTTGAAGATTCCCTTTCATAGAGCAGGTTTGAAACACTCGTTCTGGAGTATCTGGATGTGGACATTTGGAGCGCTTTGATGCCTACGGTGGAAAAGTAAGTATCTTCCCATAAAAACGAGACATAAGGATTCTCAGAAACAAGTTTGTGATGTGTGTACTCAGCTAACAGAGTGGAACCTTTCTTTTTACAGAGCAGCTTTGAAACTCTATTTTTGTGGATTCTGCAAATGGATATTTAGATTGCTTTAATGATATCGCTGGGAAAGGGAATATGGTCATACAAAATCTAGACAGAAGCATTCTCACAAACTTCTTTGTGATGTGTGTCCTCAACTAACAGAGTTGAACCTTTCTTTTGATGCAGCAGTTTGGAAACACCCTTTTGGTAGAAACTGTAAGTGGATATTTGGATAGCTCTAACGATTTCGTTGGAAACGGGAATATCGTCATCTAAAATCTAGACAGAAGCACTATTAGAAACTACTTGGTGATATCTGCATTCAAGTCACAGAGTTGAACATTCCCTTACTTTGAGCACGTTTCAAACACTCTTTTGGAAGAATCTGGAAGTGGACATTTGGAGCGCTTTGATGCCTTTGGTGAAAAGGAAACGTCTTCCAATAAAAGCCAGACAGAAGCATTCTCAGAAACTTGTTTGTGATGTGTGTACTCAACTAAAAGAGTTGAACCTTTCTATTGATAGAGCAGTTTTGAAACACTCTTTTTGTGGATTCTGCAAGTGGATATTTGGATTGCTTTGAGGATTTCGTTGGAAGCGGGAATTCGTATAAAAACTAGACAGCAGCATTCCCAGAAATTTCTTTCGGATATTTCCATTCAACTCATAGAGATGAACATGGCTTTTCATAGAGCAGGTTTGAAACACTCTTTTTGTAGTTTGTGGAAGTGGACATTTCGATCGCCTTGACGCCTACGGTGAAAAAGGAAATATCTTCCCATAAAAAATAGACAGAAGCATTCTCAGAAACTTGTTGGTGATATGTGTCCTCAACTAACAGAGTTGAACTTTGCCATTGATAGAGAGCAGTTTTGAAACACTCTTTTTGTGGAATCTGCAAGTGGATATTTGGATAGCTTGGAGGATTTCGTTGGAAGCGGGAATTCAAATAAAAGGTAGACAGCAGCATTCTCAGAAATTTCTTTCTGATGTCTGCATTCAACTCATAAAGTTGAAGATTCCCTTTCATAGAGCAGGTTTGAAACACTCTTTCTGGAGTATCTGGATGTGGACATTTGGAGCGCTTTGATGCCTACGGTGGAAAAGTAAATATCTTCCCATAAAAACGAGACAGAAGGATTCTGAGAAACAAGTTTGTGATGTGTGTACTCAGCTAACAGAGTGGAACCTCTCTTTTGATGCAGCAGTTTGGAAACACTCTTTTTGTAGAAACTGTAAGTGGATATTTGGATAGCTCTAATGATTTCGTTGGAAACGGGAATATCATCATCTAAATCTAGACAGAAGCACTCTCAGAAACTACTTTGTGATATCTGCATTCAAGTCACAGAGTTGAACATTCGCTTTCTTAGAGCACGTTGGAAACACTCTTTTTGTAGTGTCTGGAAGTGGACATTTGGAGCGCATTGATGCCTTTGGTGAAAAAGGGAACGTCTTCCCATAAAAACTAGACAGAAGCATTCTCAGAAACTTGTTTGTGATGTGTGTACCCAGCTAAAGGAGTTGAACATTTCTATTGATAGAGCAGTTTTGAAACACTCTTTTTGTGGAAAATGCTAGTGGATATTTCGATAGCTTGGAGGATTTCCTTGGAAGCGGGAATTCAAATAAAAGGTAGACAGCAGCATTCTCAGAAATTACTTTCTGATGTCTGCATTCAACTCATAGAGTTGAAGATTCCCTTTCATAGAGCAGGTTTGAAACACTCTTTCTGTAGTATCTGGATGTGGACATTTGGGGCGCTTTGATACCTACGGTGAAAAGTAAATATCTTCCCATAAAAACTAGACAGAAGGATTCTCAGAAACAAGTTTGTGATGTGTGTACTCAGCTAACAGAGTGGAACCTTTCTTTTTACAGAGCAGCTTTGAAACTCTATTTTTGTGGATTCTGCAAATTGATATTTAGATTGCTTTAACGATATCGTTGGAAAAGGGAATATGGTCATACAAAATCTAGACAGAAAGCATTCTCACAAACTTCTTTGTGATGTGTGTCCTCAACTAACAGAGTTGAACCTTTCTTTTGATGCAGCAATTTGGAAACACCCTTTTGGTAGAAACTGTAACTGGATATTTGGATAGCTCTAACGATTTCGTTGGAAACGGGAATATCATCATCTAAAATGTAGACAGAAGCACTATTAGAAACTACTTGGTGATATCTGCATTCAAGTCAAAGAGTTGAACATTCCCTTACTTTGAGCACGTTTGAAACACTCTTTTGGAAGAATCTGGAAGTGGACATTTGGAGCGCTTTGATGCCTTTGGTGAAAAGGAAACGTCTTCCAATAAAAGCCAGACAGAAGCATTCTCAGAAACTTGTTTGTGATGTGTGTACTCAACTAAAAGAGTTGAACCTTTCTATTGATAGAGCAGTTTTGAAACACTCTTTTTGTGGATTCTGCAAGTGGATATTTGGATTGCTTTGAGGATTTCGTTGGAAGCGGGAATTCGTATAAAAACTAGACAGCAGCATTCCCAGAAATTTCTTTCGGATATTTCCATTCGACTCATAGAGATGAACATGGCCTTTCATAGAGCAGGTTTGAAACACTCTTTTTGTAGTTTGTGGAAGTGGACATTTCGATCGCCTTGACGCCTACGGTGAAAAAGGAAATATCTTCCCATAAAAAATAGACAGAAGCATTCTCAGAAACTTGTTGGTGATATGTGTCCTCAACTAACAGAGTTGAACTTTGCCATTGATAGAGAGCAGTTTTGAAACACTCTTTTTCCTGAATCTGCAAGTGGATATTTGGATAGCTTGGAGGATTTCGTTGGAAGCGGGAATTCAAATAAAAGTTAGACAGCAGCATTCTCAGAAATTTCTTTCTGATGTCTGCATTCAACTCATAGAGTTGAAGATTCCCTTTCATAGAGCAGGTTTGAAACACTCTTTCTGGAGTATCTGGATGTGGACATTTGGAGCGCTTTGATGCCTACGGTGAAAAAGTAAATATCTTCCCAGAAAAACGAGACAGAAGGATTCTCAGAAACAAGTTTGTGATGTGTGTACTCAGCTAACAGAGTGGAACCTCTCTTCTGATGCAGCAGTTTGGAAACACTCTTTTTGTAGAAACTGTAAGTGGATATTTGGATAGCTCTAATGATTTCGTTGGAAATGGGAATATCATCATCTAAAATCTAGACGGAATCCCTCTCAGAAACTACTTTGTGATATCTGCATTCAAGTCACAGAGTTGAACATTCGCTTTCTTAGAGCACGTTTGAAACACTCTTTTTGTAGTGTCTGGAAGTGGACATTTGGAGCGCTTTGATGCCTTTGGTGAAAAAGGGAATGTCTTCCCATAAAAACTAGACAGAAGCATTCTCAGAAACTTGTTTGTGATGTGTGTACCCAGCTAAAGGAGTTGAACATTTCTATTGATAGAGCAGTTTTGAAACACTCTTTTTGTGGAAAATGCAAGTGGATATTTGGATAGCTTGGAGGATTTCGTTGGAAGCGGGAATTCAAATAAAAGGTAGATAGCAGAATTCTCAGAAATTTCTTTCTGATGTCTGCATTCAACTCATAGAGTTGAAGATTCCCTTTCATAGAGCAGGTTTGAAACACTCGTTCTGGAGTATCTGGATGTGGACATTTGGAGCGCTTTGATGCCTACGGTGGAAAAGTAAATATCTTCCCATAAAAACGAGACAGAAGGATTCTCAGAAACAAGTTTGTGATGTGTGTACTCAGCTAACTGAGTGGAACCTTTCTTTTTACAGAGCAGCTTTGAAACTCTATTTTTGTGGATTCTGCAAATTGATATTTAGATTGCTTTAACGATATCGTTGGAAAAGGGAATGTCGTCATACAAAATCTGGACAGAAGCACTCTCAGAAACTTACTCGTGATGTGTGTCCTCAACTAAAGGAGTAGAACCTTTCTTTTCATAGAGAAGTTTTGAAACACTCTTTTTGTAGAAACTGTAAGTGGATATTTGGATAGCTCTAACGATTTCGTTGGAAACGGGAATATCATCATCTAAAATCTAGACAGAAGCACTATTAGAAACTACTTGGTGATATCTGCATTCAAGTCAAAGAGTTGAACATTCCCTTACTTTGAGCACGTTTGAAACACTCTTTTGGAAGAATCTGGAAGTGGACATTTGGAGCGCTTTGATGCCTTTGGTGAAAAGGAAACGTCTTCCAATAAAAGCCAGACAGAAGCATTCTCAGAAACTTGTTTGTGATGTGTGTACTCAACTAAAAGAGTTGAACCTTTCTAATGATAGCGCAGTTTTGAAACACTCTTTTTGTGGATTCTGCAAGTGGATATTTGGATTGCTTTGAGGATTTCGTTGGAAGCGGGAATTCATATAAAAACTAGACAGCAGCATTCCCAGAAATTTCTTTCGGATATTTCCATTCGACTCATAGAGATGAACATGGCCTTTCATAGAGCAGGTTTGAAACACTCTTTTTGTAGTTTGTGGAAGTGGACATTTTGATCGCCTTGACGCCTACGGTGAAAAAGGAATTATCTTCCCATAAAAAATAGACAGAAGCATTCTCAGAAACTTGTTGGTGATATGTGTCCTCAACTAACAGAGTTGAACTTTGCCATTGATAGAGAGCAGTTTTGAAACACTCTTTTTGTGGAATCTGCAAGTGGATATTTGGATAGCTTGGAGGATTTCGTTGGAAGCGGGAATTCAAATAAAAGGTAGACAGCAGCATTCTCAGAAATTTCTTTCTGATGTCTGCATTCAACTCACAGAGTTGAAGATTCCCTTTCATAGAGCAGGTTTGAAACACTCTTTCTGGAGTATCTGGATGTGGACATTTGGAGCGCTTTGATGCCTACGGTGAAAAAGTAAATATCTTCCCAGAAAAACGAGACAGAAGGATTCTCAGAAACAAGTTTGTGATGTGTGTACTCAGCTAACAGAGTGGAACCTTTCTTTTTACAGAGCAGCTTTGAAACTCTATTTTTGTGGATTCTGGAAATTGATATTTAGATTGCTTTAACGATATCGTTGGAAAAGGGAATATCGTCATACAAAATCTGGACAGAAGCATTCTCACAAACTTCTTTGTGATGTGTGTCCTCAACTAACAGAGTTGAACTTTTCTTTTGATGCAGCAGTTTGGAAACACTGTTTTTGTAGAAAATGTAAGTGGATATTTGGATAGCTCTAACGATTTCGTTGGAAACGGGAATATCATCATCTAAAATCTAGACAGAAGCACTATTAGAAACTACTTGGTGATATCTGCATTCAAGTCACAGAGTTGAACATTCCCTTACTTTGAGCACGTTTCAAACACTCTTTTGGAAGAATCTGGAAGTGGACATTTGGAGCGCTTTGATGCCTTTGGTGAAAAGGAAACGTCTTCCAATAAAAGCCAGACAGAAGCATTCTCAGAAACTTGTTTGTGATGTGTGTACTCAACTAAAAGGGTTGAACCTTTCTATTGATAGAGCAGTTTTGAAACACTCTTTTTGTGGATTCTGCAAGTGGATATTTGGATTGCTTTGAGGATTTCGTTGGAAGCGGGAATTCGTATAAAAACTAGACAGCAGCATTCCCAGAAATTTCTTTCGGATATTTCCATTCAACTCATAGAGATGAACATGGCCTTTCATAGAGCAGGTTTGAAACACACTTTTTGTAGTTTGTGGAAGTGGACATTTCGATCGCCTTGACGCCTACGCTGAAAAAGGAATTATCTTCCCATAAAAAATAGACAGAAGCATTCTCAGAAACTTGTTGGTGATATGTGTCCTCAACTAACAGAGTTGAACTTTGCCATTGATAGAGAGCAGTTTTGAAACACTCTTTTTGTGGAATCTGCAAGTGGATATTTGGATAGCTTGGAGGATTTCGTTGGAAGCGGGAATTCAAATAAAAGGTAGACAGCAGCATTCTCAGAAATTTCTTTCTGATGTCTGCATTCAACTCATAGAGTTGAACCTTCCCTTTCATAGAGCAGGTTTGAAATACTCTTTCTGTAGTATCTGGATGTGGACATTTGGAGCGCTTTGATGCCTACGGTGAAAAAGTAAATCTCTTCCCATAAAAACGAGACAGAAGGATTCTGAGAAACAAGTTTGTGATGTGTGTACTCAGCTAACAGAGTGGAACCACTCTTTTGATGCAGCAGTTTGGAAACACTCTTTTTGTAGAAACTGTAAGTGGATATTTGGATAGCTCTAATGATTTCGTTGGAAACGGGAATATCATCATCTAAAATCTAGACAGAAGCACTCTCAGAAACTACTTTGTGATATCTGCATTCAAGTCACAGAGTTGAACATTCGCTTTCTTAGAGCACGTTTGAAACAGTCTTTTTGTAGTGTCTGGAAGTGGACATTTGGAGCGCTTTGATGGCTTTGGTGAAAAAGGGAACGTCTTCCCATAAAAACTAGACAGAAGCATTCTCAGAAACTTGTTTGTGATGTGTGTACCCAGCCAAAGGAGTTGAACATTTCTATTGATAGAGCAGTTTTGAAACACTCTTTTTGTGGAAAATGCAAGTGGATATTTGGATAGCTTGGAGGATTTCGTTGGAAGCGTTAATTCAAATAAAAGGTAGACAGCAGGATTCTGAGAAACAAGTTTGTGATGTGTGTACTCAGCTAACAGAGTGGAACCTTTCTTTTTACAGAGCAGCTTTGAAACTCTATTTTTGTGGATTCTGCAAATGGATATTTAGATTGCATTAATGATATCGCTGGAAAAGGGAATATGGTCATACAAAATCTAGACAGAAGCATTCTCACAAACTTCTTTGTGATGTGTGTCCTCAACTAACAGAGTTGAACCTTTCTTTTGATGCAGCAGTTTGGAAACACTCTTTTTGTAGAAACTGTAAGTGGATATTTGGATAGCTCTAACGATTTCGTTGGAAACGGGAATATCATCATCTAAAATGCTAGACAGAAGCACTATTAGAAACTACTTGGTGATATCTGCATTCAAGTCACAGAGTTGAACATTCCCTTACTTTGAGCACGTTTGAAACACTCTTTTGGAAGAATCTGGAAGTGGACATTTGGAGCGCTTTGATGCCTTTGGTGAAAAGGAAACGTCTTCCAATAAAAGCCAGACAGAAAGCATTCTCAGCAAACTTGTTGGTGATGTGTGTACTCAACTAAAAGAGTTGAACCTTTCTATTGATAGAGCAGTTTTGAAACACTCTTTTTGTGGATTCTGCAAGTGGATATTTGGATTGCTTTGAGGATTTCGTTGGAAGCGGGAATTCGTATAAACACTAGACAGCAGCATTCCCAGAAATTTCTTTCGGATATTTCCATTCAACTCATAGAGATGAACATGGCCTTTCATAGAGCAGGTTTGAAACACTCTTTTTGTAGTTTGTGGAAGTGGACATTTCGATCGCCTTGACGCCTACGGTGAAAAAGGAAATATCTTCCCATAAACAATAGACAGAAGCATTCTCAGAAACTTGTTGGTGATATGTGTCCTCAACTAACAGAGTTGAACTTTGCCATTGATAGAGCGCAGTTTTGAAACACTCTTTTTGTGGAATCTGCAAGTGGATATTTGGATAGCTTGGAGGATTTCGTTGGAAGCGGTAATTCAAATAAAAGGTAGACAGCAGCATTCTCAGAAATTTCTTTCTGATGTCTGCATTCAACTCATAGAGTTGAAGATTCCCTTTCATAGAGCAGGTTTGAAACACTCTTTCTGGAGTATCTGGATGTGGACATTTGGAGCGCTTTGATGCCTACGGTGAGAAAGTAAATATCTTCCCATAAAAACGAGACAGTAAGGATTCTGAGAAACAAGTTTGTGATGTGTGTACTCAGCTAACAGAGTGGAACCTCTCTTTTGATGCAGCAGTTTGGAAACACTCTTTTTGTAGAAACTGTAAGTGGATATTTGGATAGCTCTAATGATTTCGTTGGAAACGGGAATATCATCATCTAAAATCTAGACAGAAGCCCTCTCAGAAACTACTTTGTGATATCTGCATTCAAGTCACAGAGTTGAACATTCGCTTTCTTAGAGCACGTTTGAAACACTCTTTTTGTAGTGTCTGGAAGTGGACATTTGGAGCGCTTTGATTCCTTTGGTGAAAAAGGGAATGTCTACCCATAAAAACTAGACAGAAGCATTCTCAGTAAACTTGTTTGTGATGTGTGTACCCAGCTAAAGGAGTTGAACATTTCTATTGATAGAGCAGTTTTGAAACACTCTTTTTGTGGAAAATGCAAGTGGATATTTGGATAGCTTGGAGGATTTCGTTGGAAGCGGGAATTCAAATAAAAGGTAGACAGGAGCATTCTCAGAAATTTCTTTCTGATGTCTGCATTCAACTCATAGAGTTGAAGATTCCCTTTCATAGAGCAGGTTTGAAACACTCGTTCTGGAGTATCCGGATGTGGATATTTGGAGCGCTTTGATGCCTACGGTGGAAAAGTAAATATCTTCCCATAAAAACGAGACAGAAGGATTCTCAGAAACAAGTTTGTGATGTGTGTACTCAGCTAACAGAGTGGAACCTTTCTTTTTACAGAGCAGCTTTGAAACTCTATTGTTGTGGATTCTGCAAATTGATATTTAGATTGCTTTAACGATATCGTTGGAAAAGGGAATACCGTCATACAAAATCCTAGACAGAAGTATTCTCACAAACTTCTTTGTGATGTGTGTCCTCAACTAACAGAGTTGAACCTTTCTTTTGATGCAGCAATTTGGAAACACCCTTTTGGTAGAAACTGTAACTGGATATTTGGATAGCTCTAACGATTTCGTTGGAAACGGGAATATCATCACCTAAAATCTAGACAGAAGCACTATTAGAAACTACTTGGTGATATCTGCATTCAAGTCACAGAGTAGAACATTCCCTTACTTCGAGCACGTTTGAAACACTCTTTTGGAAGAATCTGGAAGTGGACATTTGGAGCGCTTTGATGCCTTTGGTGAAAAGGAAACGTCTTCCAATAAAAGCCAGACAGAAGCATTCTCAGAAACTTGTTTGTGATGTGTGTACTCAACTAAAAGAGTTGAACCTTTCTATTGATAGAGCAGTTTTGAAACACTCTTTTTGTGGATTCTGCAAGTGGATATTTGGATTGCTTTGAGGATTTCGTTGGAAGCGGGAATTCATATAAAAACTAGACAGCAGCATTCCCAGAAATTTCTTTCGGATATTTCCATTCAACTCATAGAGATTAACATGGCCTTTCATAGAGCAGGTTTGAAACACTCTTTTTGTAGTTTGTGGAAGTGGACATTTCGATCGCCTTGACGCCTACCGTGAAAAAGGAAATATCTTCCCATAAAAAATAGACAGAAGCATTCTCAGAAACTTGTTGGTGATATGTGTCCTCAACTAACAGAGTTGAACTTTGCCATTGATAGAGAGCAGTTTTGAAACACTCTTTTTCCTGAATCTGCAAGTGGATATTTGGATAGCTTGGAGGATTTCGTTGGAAGCGGGAATTCAAATAAAAGGTAGACAGCAGCATTCTCAGAAATTTCTTTCTGATCTCTGCATTCAACTCATAGAGTTGAACATTTCCTTTCATAGGGCAGGTTTGAAATACTCTTTCTGTAGTATCTGGATGTGGACATTTGGAGCGCTTTGATGCCTACGGTGAAAAAGTAAATATCTTCCCATAAAAACGAGACAGAAGGATTCTGAGAAACAAGTTTGTGATGTGTGTACTCAGCTAACAGAGTGGAACCTCTCTTTTGATGCAGTAGTTTGGAAACACTCTTTTTGTAGAAACTGTAAGTGGATATTTGGATAGCTCTAATGATTTCGTTGGAAACGGGAATATCATCATCTAAAATCTCGACAGAATCAGTCTCAGAAACTACTTTGTGATATCTGCATTCCAGTCACAGAGTTGAAAACTCCCTTACTTAGAGCAGGTTTGAAACACTCTTTTTGTAGAATCTGGAAGTGGACATTTGGAGCGCTTTGATGCATTTGGTGAAAAAGGAAATGTCTTCCCTTAAAAAGTAGACAGAAGCATTCTCAGAAACTTGTTTGTGATGTGTGCACCCAGCTAAAGGAGTTGAACATTTATTGATAGAGCAGTTTTGAAGCACTCTTTTTGTGGAAAATGCAAGTGGATATTTGGATAGCTTGGAGGATTTCGTTGGAAGCGGGAGTTCAAATAAAAGGTAGACAGCAAGGATTCTGAGAAACAAGTTTGTGATGTGTGTACTCAGCTAACAGAGTGGAACCTTTCTTTTTACAGAGCAGCTTTGAAACTCTATTTTTGTGGATTCTGCAAATGGATATTTAGATTCCTTTAACGATATCGTTGGAAAAGGGAATATCGTCATACAAAATCTAGACAGAAGCATTCTCAGAAACTTCTTTGTGATGTGTGTCCTCAACTAACAGAGTTGAACATTTCTTTTGATGCAGCAGTTTGGAAACACTCTTTTTGTAGAAACTGTAAGTGGATATTTGGATAGCTCTAACGATTTCATTTGAAACGGGAATATCATCATCTAAAATCTAGACAGAAGCACTATTAGAAACTACTTGGTGATATCGGCATTCAAGTCACAGAGTTGAACATTCCCTTACTTTGAGCACGTTTCAAACACTCTTTTGGAAGAATCTGGAAGTGGACATTTGGAGCGCTTTGATGCCTTTGGTGAAAAGGAAACGTCTTCCAATAAAAGCCAGACAGAAGCATTCTCAGAAACTTGTTTGTGATGTGTGTACTCAACTAAAAGAGTTGAACCTTTCTATTGATAGAGCAGTTTTGAAACACTCTTTTTGTGGATTCTGCAAGTGGATATTTGGATTGCTTTGAGGATTTCGTTGGAAGCGGGAATTCGTATAAAAACTAGACAGCAGCATTCCCAGAAATTTCTTTCGGATATTTCCATTCGATTCATAGAGATGAACATGGCCTTTCATAGAGCAGGTTTGAAACACTCTTTTTGTAGTTTGTGGAAGTGGACATTTCGATCGCCTTGACGCCTACGGTGAAAAAGGAAATATCTTCCCATAAAAAATAGACAGAAGCATTCTCAGAAACTTGTTGGTGATATGTGTCCTCAACTAACAGAGTTGAACTTTGCCATTGATAGAGAGCAGTTTTGAAACACTCTTTTTGTGGAATCTGCAAGTGGATATTTGGATAGCTTGGAGGATTTCGTTGGAAGCGGGAATTCAAATAAAAGGTAGACAGCAGCATTCTCAGTAAATTTCTTTCTGATGTCTGCATTCAACTCATAGTAGTTGAAGATTCCCTTTCATAGAGCAGGTTTGAAACACTCTTTCTGGAGTATCTGGATGTGGACATTTGGAGCGCTTTGATGCCTACGGTGAAAAAGTAAATATCTTCCCAGAAAAACGAGACAGAAGGATTCTCAGAAACAAGTTTGTGATGTGTGTACTCAGCTAACAGAGTGGAAACTTTCTTTTTACAGAGCAGCTTTGAAACTCTATTTTTGTGGATTCTGCAAATTGATATTTAGATTGCTTTAACGATATCGTTGGAAAAGGGAATATCGTCATACAAAATCTAGACAGAAGCATTCTCACAAACTTCTTTGTGACGTGTGTCCTCAACTAACAGAGTTGAACCTTTCTTTTGATGCAGCAGTTTGGAAACACTGTTTCTGTAGCAACTGTAAGTGGATATTTGGATAGCTCTAACGATTTCGTTGGAAACGGGAATATCATCATCTAAAATCTAGACAGAAGCACTATTAGAAACTACTTGGTGATATCTGCATTCAAGTCACAGAGTTGAACATTCCCTTACTTTGAGCACGTTTCAAACACTCTTTTGGAAGAATCTGGAAGTGGACATTTGGAGCGCTTTGATGCCTTTGGTGAAAAGGAAACGTCTTCCAATAAAAGCCAGACAGAAGCATTCTCAGAAACTTGTTTGTGATGTGTGTACTCAACTAAAAGAGTTGAACCTTTCTATTGATAGAGCAGTTTTGAAACACTCTTTTTGTGGATTCTGCAAGTGGATATTTGGATTGCTTTGAGGATTTCGTTGGAAGCGGGAATTCGTATAAAAACTAGACAGCAGCATTCCCAGAAATTTCTTTCGGATATTTCCATTCGACTCATAGAGATGAACATGGCCTTTCATAGAGCAGGTTTGAAACACTCTTTTTGTAGTTTGTGGAAGTGGACATTTCGATCGCCTTGACGCCTACGGTGAAAAAGGAAATATCTTCCCATAAAAGATAGACAGAAGCATTCTCAGAAACTTGTTGGTGATATGTGTCCTCAACTAACAGAGTTGAACTTTGCCATTGATAGAGAGCAGTTTTGAAACACTCTTTTTGTGGAATCTGCAAGTGGATATTTGGATAGCTTGGAGGATTTCGTTGGAAGCGGGAATTCAAATAAAAGGTAGACAGCAGCATTCTCAGAAATTTCTTTCTGATGTCTGCATTCAACTCATAGAGTTGAAGATTCCCTTTCATAGAGGAGGTTTGAAACACTCTTTCTGGAGTATCTGGATGTGGACATTTGGAGCGCTTTGATGCCTACGGTGAAAAAGTAAATATCTTCCCATAAAAACGAGACAGAAGGATTCTGAGAAACAAGTTTGTGATGTGTGTACTCAGCTAACAGAGTGGAACCTCTCTTTTGATGCAGCAGTTTGGAAACACTCTTTTTGTAGAAACTGTAAGTGGATATTTGGATAGCTCTAATGATTTCGTTGGAAACGGGAATATCATCATCTTAAATCTAGACAGAAGCACTCTCAGAAACTACTTTGTGATATCTGCATTCAAGTCACAGAGTTGAACATTCGGTTTCTTAGAGCACGTTGGAAACACTCTTTTTGTAGTGTCTGGAAGTGGACATTTGGAGCGCTTTGATGCCTTTGGTGAAAAAGGGAATGTCTTCCCATAAAAACTAGACAGAAGCATTCTCAGAAACTTGTTTGTGCTGTGTCTACCCAGCTAAAGGAGTTGAACATTTCTATTGATAGAGCAGTTTTGAAACACTCTTTTTGTGGAAAATGCAGGTGGATATTTGGATAGCTTGGAGGATTTCGTTGGAAGCGGGGATTCAAATAAAAAGTAGACAGCAGCATTCTCAGAAATTTCTTTCTGATGTCTGCATTCAACTCATAGAGTTGAAGATTCTCTTTCATAGAGCAGGTTTGAAACACTCGTTCTGGAGTATCTGGATGTGGACATTTGGAGCGCTTTGATGCCTACGGTGGAAAAGTAAATATCTTCCCATAAAAACGAGACAGAAGGATTCTGAGAAACAGGTTTGTGATGTGTGTACTCAGCTAACAGAGTGGAACCTTTCTTTTTACAGAGCAGCTTTGAAACTCTATTTTTGTGGATTCTGCAAATGGATATTTAGATTGCTTTAATGATATCGCTGGAAAAGGGAATATGGTCATACAAAATCTAGACAGAAGCATTCTCACAAACTTCTTTCTGATGTGTGTCCTCAACTAACAGAGTTGAACCTTTCTTTTGATGCAGCAGTTTGGAAACACTCTTTTTGTAGAAACTGTAAGTGGATATTTGGATAGCTCTAACGATTTCGTTGGAAACGGGAATATCATCATCTAAAATCTAGACAGAAGCCCTCTCAGAAACTACTTTGTGATATCTGCATTCAAGTCACAGAGTTGAACATTCGCTTTCTTAGAGCACGTTTGAAACACTCTTTTTGTAGTGTCTGGAAGTGGACATTTGGAGCGCTTTGATGCCTTTGGTGAAAAAGGGGAACGTCTTCCCATAAAAACTAGACAGAAGCATTCTCAGAAACTTGTTTGTGATGTGTGTACCCAGCCAAAGGAGTTGAACATTTCTATTGATAGAGCAGTTTTGAAACACTCTTGTTGTGGAAAATGCAAGTGGATATTTGGATAGCTTGGAGGATTTCGTTGGAAGCGGGAATTCAAATAAAAGGTAGACAGCAGCATTCTCAGAAATTTCTTTCTGATGTCTGCATTCAACTCATAGAGTTGAAGATTCCCTTTCATAGAGCAGGTTTGAAACACTCGTTCTGGAGTATCTGGATGTGGACATTTGGAGCGCTTCGATGCCTACGGTGGAAAAGTAAATATCTTCCCATAAAAACGAGACAGAAGGATTCTCAGAAACAAGTTTGTGATATGTGTACTCAGCTAACAGAGTGGAACCTTTCTTTTTACAGAGCAGCTTTGAAACTCTATTTTTGTGGATTCTGCAAATTGATATTTAGATTGCTTTAACGATATCGTTGGAAAAGGGAATATCGTCATACAAAATCTAGACAGAAGCATTCTCACAAACTTCTTTGTGATGTGTGTCCTCAACTAACAGAGTTGAACCTTTCTTTTGATGCAGCAATTTGGAAACACCCTTTTGGTAGAAACTGTAAGTGGATATTTGGATAGCTCTAACGATTTCGTTGGAAACGGGAATATCATCATCTAAAATCTAGACAGAAGCACTATTAGAAACTACTTGGTGATATCTGCATTCAAGTCACAGAGTAGAACATTCCCTTACTTCGAGCACGTTTGAAACACTCTTTTGGAAGAATCTGGAAGTGGACATTTGGAGCGTTTTGATGCCTTTGGTGAAAAGGAAACGTCTTCCAATAAAAGCCAGACAGAAGCATTCTCAGAAACTTGTTGGTGATGTGTGTACTCAACTAAAAGAGTTGAACCTTTCTATTGATAGAGCAGTTTTGAAACACTCTTTTTGTGGATTCTGCAAGTGGATATTTGGATTGCTTTGAGGATTTCGTTGGAAGCGGGAATTCATATAAAAACTAGACAGCAGCATTCCCAGAAATTTCTTTCGGATATTTCCATTCAACTCATTGAGATGAACATCGCCTTTCATAGAGCAGGTTTGAAACACTCTTTTTGTAGTTTGTGGAAGTGGACATTTCGATCGCCTTGACGCCTACGGTGAAAAAGGAAATATCTTCCCATAAAAAATAGACAGAAGCATTCTCAGAAACTTGTTGGTGATATGTGTCCTCAACTAACAGAGTTGAACTTTGCCATTGATAGAGAGCAGTTTTGAAACACTCTTTTTGTGGAATCTGCAAGTGGATATTTGGATAGCTTGGAGGATTTCGTTGGAAGCGGGAATTCAAATAAAAGGTAGACAGCAGCATTCTCAGAAATTTCTTTCTGATGTCTGCATTCAACTCATAGAGTTGAAGATTCCTTTTCATAGAGCAGGTTTGAAACACTCTTTCTGGAGTATCTGGATGTGGACATTTGGAGCGCTTTGATGCCTACGGTGAAAAAGTATAATCTTCCCATAAAAACGAGACAGAAGGATTCTGAGAAACAAGTTTGTGATGTGTGTACTCAGCTAACAGAGTGGAACCCCTCTTTTGATGCAGCAGTTTGGAAACACTCTTTTTGTAGAAACTGTAAGTGGATATTTGGATAGCTCTAATGATTTCGTTGGAAACGGGAATATCATCATCTAAAATCTAGACAGAAGCCCTCTCAGAAACTACTTTGTGATATCTGCATTCAAGTCACAGAGTTGAACATTCGGTTTCTTAGAGCACGTTGGAAACACTCTTTTTGTAGTGTCTGGAAGTGGACATTTGGAGCGCTGTGATGCCTTTGGTGAAAAAGGGAATGTCTTCCCATAAAAACTAGACAGAAAGCATTCTCAGTAAACTTGTTTGTGATGTGTGTACCCAGCTAAAGGAGTTGAACATTTCTATTGATAGAGCAGTTTTGAAACACTCTTTTTGTGGAAAATGCAAGTGGATATTTGGATAGCTTGGAGGATTTCGTTGGAAGCGGGAATTCAAATAAAAGGTAGACAGCAGCATTCTCAGAAATTTCTTTCTGATGTCTGCATTCAACTCATAGAGTTGAAGATTCCCTTTCATAGAGCAGGTTTGAAACACTCTTTCTGGAGTATCTGGATGTGGACATTTGGAGCGCTTTGATGCCTACGGTGAAAAAGTAAATATCTTCCCATAAAAACGAGACAGAAGGATTCTCAGAAACAAGTTTGTGATGTGTGTACTCAGCTAACAGAGTGGAACCTTTCTTTTTACAGAGCAGCTTTGAAACTCTATTTTTGTGGATTCTGCAAATGGATATTTAGATTGCTTTAATGATATCGCTGGGAAAGGGAATATGGTCATACAAAATACTAGACAGAAGCATTCTCACAAACTTCTTTGTGATGTGTGTCCTCAACTAACAGAGTTGAACCTTTCTTTTGATGCAGCAATTTGGAAACACCCTTTTGGTAGAAACTGTAACTGTATATTTGGATAGCTCTAACGATTCCGTTGGAAACGGGAATATCATCATCTAAAATCTAGACAGAAGCACTATTAGAAACTACTTGGTGATATCTGCATTCAAGTCACAGAGTTGAACATTCCCTTACTTTGAGCACGTTTGAAACACTCTTTTGGAAGAATCTGGAAGTGGACATTTGGAGCGCTTTGATGCCTTTGGTGAAAAGGAAACGTCTTCCAATAAAAGCCAGACAGAAGCATTCTCAGAAACTTGTTCGTGATGTGTGTACTCAACTAAAAGAGTTGAACCTTTCTATTGATAGAGCAGTTTTGAAACACTCTTTTTGTGGATTCTGCAAGTGGATATTTGGATTGCTTTGAGGATTTCGTTGTAAGCGGGAATTCGTATAAACACTAGACAGCCAGCATTCCCAGAATTTCTTTCGGATATTTCCATTCAACTCATAGAGATGAACATGGCCTTTCATAGAGCAGGTTTGAAACACTCTTTTTGTAGTTTGTGGAAGTGGACATTTCGATCGCCTTGACGCCTACGGTGAAAAAGGAAATATCTTCCCATAAAAAATAGACAGAGCATTCTCAGAAACTTGTTGGTGATATGTGTCCTCAACTAACAGAGTTGAACTTTGCCATTGATAGAGAGCAGTTTTGAAACACTCTTTTTCCTGAATCTGCAAGTGGATATTTGGATAGTTTGGAGGATTTCGTTGGAAGCGGGAATTCAAATAAAAGGTAGACAGCAGCATTCTCAGAAATTTCTTTCTGATGTCTGCATTCAACTCATAGAGTTGAACATTCCCTTTCATAGGGCAGGTTTGAAATACTCTTTCTGTAGTATCTGGATGTGGACATTTGGAGCGGTTTGATGCCTACGGTGAAAAAGTAAATATCTTCCCATAAAAACGAGACAGAAGGATTCTGAGAAACAAGTTTGTGATGTGTGTACTCAGCTAACAGAGTGGAACCTCTGTTTTGATGCAGCAGTTTGGAAACACTCTTTTTGTAGAAACTGTAAGTGGATATTTGGATAGCTCTAATGATTTCGTTGGAAACGGGAATATCATCATCTAAAATCTAGACAGAAGCAGTCTCAGAATCTACTTTGTGATATCTGCATTCCAGTCACAGAGTTGAAAACTCCCTTACTTAGAGGAGGTTTGAAACACTCTTTTTGTAGAATCTGGAAGTGGACATTTGGAGCGCTTTGATGCCTTTGGTGAAAAAGGAAACGTCTTCCCTTAAAAAGTAGACAGAAGCATTCTCAGAAACTTGTTTGTGATGTGTGCACCCAGCTAAAGGAGTTGAACATTTATTGATAGAGCAGTTTTGAAGCACTCTTTTTGTGGAAAATGCAAGTGGATATTTGGATAGCTTGGAGGATTTCGTTGGAAGCGGGAGTTCAAATAAAAGGTAGACAGCAGCATTCTCAGAAATTTCTTTCTGATGTCTGCATTCAACTCATAGAGTTGAAGATTCCCTTTCATAGAGCAGGTTTGAAACGCTCTTTCTGGAGTATCTGGATGTGGACATTTGGAGCGCTTTGATGCCTACGGTGAAAAAGTAAATATCTTCCCATAAAAACGAGACAGAAGGATTCTCAGAAACAAGTTTGTGATGTGTGTACTCAGCTAACAGAGTGGAACCTTTCTTTTTACAGAGCAGCTTTGAAACTCTATTTTTGTGGATTCTGCAAATGGATATTTAGATTGCTTTAACGATATCATTGGAAAAGGGAATATCGTCATACAAAATCTGGACAGAAGCATTCTCACAAACTTCTTTGTGATGTGTGTCCTCAACTAACAGAGTTGAACCTTTCTTTTGATGCAGCAGTTTGGAAACACCCTTTTGGTAGAAACTGTAAGTGGATATTTGGATAGCTCTAACGATTTCGTTGGAAACGGGAATATCATCATCTAAAATCTAGACAGAAGCACTATTAGAAACTACTTGGTGATATCTGCATTCAAGTCACAGAGTTGAACATTCCCTTACTTTGAGCACGTTTCAAACACTCTTTTGGAAGAATCTGGAAGTGGACATTTGGAGCGCTTTGATGATGCCTTTGGTGAAAAGGAAACGTCTTCCAATAAAAGCCAGACAGAAGCATTCTCAGAAACTTGTTTGTGATGTGTGTACTCAACTAAAAGAGTTGAACCTTTCTATTGATAGAGCAGTTTTGAAACACTCTTTTTGTGGATTCTGCAAGTGGATATTTGGATTGCTTTGAGGATTTCGTTGGAAGCAGGAATTCGTATAAAATCTAGACAGCAGCATTCCCAGAAATTTCTTTCTGATATTTCCATTGAACTCATAGAGATGAACATGGCCTTTCATAGAGCAGGTTTGAAACACTCTTTTTGTAGTTTGTGGAAGTGGACATTTCGATCGCCTTGATGACTACGGTGAAAAAGGAAATATCTTCCCATAAAAAATAGACAGAAGAATTCTCAGAAACTTTTTGTGATGTGTATCCTCAACTGACAGAGTTGAACCTTGCCATTGATAGAGCAGTTTTGAAACACTCTTTTTGTGGAATCTGCAAGTGGATATTTGGATAGCCTGGAGGATTTCGTTGGAAGCGGGAATTCAAATGAAAGGTAGACAGCAGCATTCTCAGAAATTTCTTTGTGATGTTTGCATTCAACTCATAGAGTTGAACATTCCCTTTCATAGAGCAGGTTTGAAACACTCTTTCTGTACTATCTGGATGTGGACATTTGGAACGCTTTGATGCCTACGGTGAAAAAGTAAATATCTTCCCATAAAAATTAGACAGAAGGATTCTGAGAAACAAGTTTGTGATGTGTGTACTCAGCTAACAGAGTGGAACCTTTCTTTTTACAGAGCAGCTTTGAAACTCTATTTTTGTGGATTCTGCAAATGGATATTTAGATTGCTTTAATGATATCGTTGGAAAAGGGAATATCGTCATACAAAATCTAGACAGAAAGCATTCTCACAAACTTCTTTGTGATGTGTGTCCTCAACTAACAGAGTTGAACCTTTCTTTTGATGCAGCAATTTGGAAGCACCCTTTTGGTAGAAACTGTAACTGGATATTTGGATAGCTCTAACGATTTCGTTGGAAACGGGAATATCATCATCTAAAATGTAGACAGAAGCACTATTAGAAACTACTTGGTGATATCTGCATTTAAGTCACAGAGTTGAACATTCCCTTACTTTGAGCACGTTTCAAACACTCTTTTGGAAGAATCTGGAAGTGGACATTTGGAGCGCTTTGATGCCTTTGGTGAAAAGGAAACGTCTTCCAATAAAAGCCAGACAGAAGCATTCTCAGAAACTTGTTTGTGATGTGTGTACTCAACTAAAAGAGTTGAACCTTTCTATTGATAGAGCAGTTTTGAAACACTCTTTTTGTGGATTCTGCAAGTGGATATTTGGATTGCTTTGAGGATTTCGTTGGAAGCGGGAATTCGTATAAAAACTAGACAGCAGCATTCCCAGAAATTTCTTTCGGATATTTCCATTCGACTCATAGAGATGAACATGGCCTTTCATAGAGCAGGTTTGAAACACTCTTTTTGTAGTTTGTGGAAGTGGACATTTCGATCGCCTTGACGCCTACGGTGAAAAAGGAAATATCTTCCCATAAAAAATAGACCAGAAGCATTCTCAGAAACTTGTTGGTGATATGTGTCCTCAACTAACAGAGTTGAACTTTGCCATTGATAGAGAGCAGTTTTGAAACACTCTTTTTGTGGAATCTGCAAGTGGATATTTGGATAGCTTGGAGGATTTCGTTGGAAGCGGGAATTCAAATAAAAGGTAGACAGCAGCATTCTCAGAAATTTCTTTCTGATGTCTGCATTCAACTCATAGAGTTGAACATTCCCTTTCATAGAGCAGGTTTGAAACACTCTTTCTGGAGTATCTGGATGTGTACATTTGGAGCGCTTTGATGCCTACGGTGAAAAAGTAAATATCTTCCCATAAAAACGAGACAGAAGGATTCTGAGAAACAAGTTTGTGATGTGTGTACTCAGCTAACAGAGTGGAACCTCTCTTTTGATGCAGCAGTTTGGAAACACTCTTTTTGTAGAAACTGTAAGTGGATATTTGGATACCTCTAATGATTTCGTTGGAAACGGGAATATCATCATCTAAAATCTAGACAGAAGCACTCTCAGAAACTACTTTGTGATATCTGCATTCAAGTCACACAGTTGAACATTCGCTTTCTTAGAGCACGTTTGAAACACTCTTTTTGTAGTGTCTGGAAGTGGACATTTGGAGCGCTTTGATTCCTTTGGTGAAAAAGGGAATGTCTACCCATAAAAACTAGACAGAAGCATTCTCAGAAACTTGTTTGTGATGTGTGTACCCAGCCAAAGGAGTTGAACATTTCTATTGATAGAGCAGGTTTGAAACACTCTTTTTGTGGAAAATGCAGGTGGATATTTGGATAGCTTGGAGGATTTCGTTGGAAGCGGGAATTCAAATAAAAGGTAGACAGCAGCATTCTCAGAAATTCCCTTCTGATGTCTGCATTCAACTCATAGAGTTGAAGACTCCCTTTCATAGAGCAGGTTTGAAACACTCTTTCTGGAGTATCTGGATGTGGACATTTGGAGCGCTTTGATGCCTACGGTGAAAAAGTAAATATCTTCCCATAAAAACGAGACAGAAGGATTCTCAGAAAGAAGTTTGTGATGTGTGTACTCAGCTAACAGAGTGGAACCTTTCTTTTTACAGAGC
Organism: Homo sapiens; assembly: GCF_000001405.40. Lineage (NCBI taxonomy): Eukaryota > Metazoa > Chordata > Mammalia > Primates > Hominidae > Homo > Homo sapiens. The sequence continues at coordinate 17,770,426 of NC_000014.9, forward strand.
AGCTTTGAAACTCTATTTTTGTGGATTCTGCAAATTGATATTTAGATTGCTTTAACGATATCGTTGGAAAAGGGAATATCGTCATACAAAATACTAGACAGAAGCATTCTCACAAACTTCTTTGTGATGTGTGTCCTCAACTAACAGAGTTGAACCTTTCTTTTGATGCAGCAATTTGGAAACACCCTTTTGGTAGAAACTGTAACTGGATATTTGGATAGCTCTAACGATTTCGTTGGAAACGGGAATATCATCATCTAAAATGTAGACAGAAGCACTATTAGAAACTACTTGGTGATATCTGCATTCAAGTCACAGAGTTGAACATTCCCTTACTTTGAGCACGTTTGAAACACTCTTTTGGAAGAATCTGGAAGTGGACATTTGGAGCGCTTTGATGCCTTTGGTGAAAAGGAAACTTCTTCCAATAAAAGCCAGACAGAAGCATTCTCAGAAACTTGTTCGTGATGTGTGTACTCAACTAAAAGAGTTGAACCTTTCTATTGATAGAGCAGTTTTGAAACACTCTTTTTGTGGATTCTGCAAGTGGATATTTGGATTGCTTTGAGGATTTCGTTGGAAGCGGGAATTCGTATAAACACTAGACAGCAGCATTCCCAGAAATTTCTTTCGGATATTTCCATTCAACTCATAGAGATGAACATGGCCTTTCATAGAGCAGGTTTGAAACACTCTTTTTGTAGTTTGTGGAGGTGGACATTTCGATCGCCTTGACACCTACGGTGAAAAAGGAAATATCTTCCTATAAAAAATAGACAGAAGCATTCTCAGAAACTTGTTGGTGATATGTGTCCTCAACTAACAGAGTTGAACTTTGCCATTGATAGAGAGCAGTTTTGAAACACTCTTTTTGTGGAATCTGCAAGTGGATATTTGGATAGCTTGGAGGATTTCGTTGGAAGCGGGAATTCAAATAAAAGGTAGACAGCAGCATTCTCAGAAATTTCTTTCTGATGTCTGCATTCAACTCATAGAGTTGAACATTCCCTTTCATAGAGCAGGTTTGAAACACTCTTTCTGGAGTATCTGGATGTGGACATTTGGAGCGCTTTATTGCCTACGGTGAAAAAGTAAATATCTTCCCATAAAAACGAGACAGAAGGATTCTGAGAAACAAGTTTGTGATGTGTGTACTCAGCTAACAGAGTGGAACCTCTGTTTTGATGCAGCAGTTTGGAAACACTCTTTTTGTAGAAACTGTAAGTGGATATTTGGATAGCTCTAATGATTTCGTTGGAAACGGGAATATCATCATCTAAATTCTAGACAGAAGCCCTCTCAGAAACTACTTTGTGATATCTGCATTCAAGTCACAGAGTTGAACATTCGCTTTCTTAGAGCACGTTTGAAACACTCTTTTTGTAGTGTCTGGAAGTGGACATTTGGAGCGCTTTCATGCCTTTGGTGAAAAAGGGAATGTCTTCCCATAAAAACTAGACAGAAGCATTCTCAGAAACTTGTTTGTGATGTGTGTACCCAGCTAAAGAGTTGAACATTTGTATTGATAGAGCAGTTTTGAAACACTCTTTTTGTGGAAAATGCAAGTGGATATTTTGATAGCTTGGAGGATTTCGTTGGAAGCGGGAATTCAAATAAAAGGTAGACAGCAGCATTCTCAGAAATTTCTTTCTGATGTCTGCATTCAACTCATAGAGTTGAAGATTCCCTTTCCTAGAGCAGGTTTGAAACACTCTTTCTGGAGTATCTGGATGTGGACATTTGGAGCGCTTTGATGCCTACGGTGAAAAAGTAAATATCTTCCCATAAAAACGAGACAGAAGGATTCTCAGAAACAAGTTTGTGATGTGTGTACTCAGCTAACAGAGTGGAACCTTTCTTTTTACAGAGCAGCTTTGAAACTCTATTTTTGTGGATTCTGCAAATTGATATTTAGATTGCTTTAACGATATCGTTGGAAAAGGGAATATCGTCATACAAAATCCTAGACAGAAGCATTCTCACAAACTTCTTTGTGATGTGTGTCCTCAACTAACAGAGTTGAACCTTTCTTTTGATGCAGCAGTTTGGAACACCCTTTTTGTAGAAACTGTAAGTGGATATTTGGATAGCTCTAACGATTTCGTTGGAAACGGGAATATCATCATCTAAAATCTAGAGAGAAGCAGTATTAGAAACTACTTGGTGATATCTGCATTCAAGTCACAGAGTTGAACATTCCCTTACTTTGAGCACGTTTCAAACACTCTTTTGGAAGAATCTGGAAGTGGACATTTGGAGCGCTTTGATGATGCCTTTGGTGAAAAGGAAACGTCTTCTAATAAAAGCCAGACAGAAGCATTCTCAGAAACTTGTTTGTGATGTGTGTACTCAACTAAAAGAGTTGAACCTTTCTATTGATAGAGCAGTTTTGAAACACTCTTTTTGTGGATTCTGCAAGTGGATATTTGGATTGCTTTGAGGATTTCGTTGGAAGCGGGAATTCGTATAAAAACTAGACAGCAGCATTCCCAGAAATTTCTTTCGGATATTTCCATTCAACTCATAGAGATGAACATGGCCTTTCATAGAGCAGGTTTGAAACACTCTTTTTGTAGTTTGTGGAGGTGGACATTTCGATCGCCTTGACGCCTACGGTGAAAAAGGAAATATCTTCCTATAAAAAATAGACAGAAGCATTCTCAGAAACTTGTTGGTGATATGTGTCCTCAACTAACAGAGTTGAACTTTGCCATTGATAGAGAGCAGTTTTGAAACACTCTTTTTGTGGAATCTGCAAGTGGATATTTGGATAGCTTGGAGGATTTCGTTGGAAGCGGGAATTCAAATAAAAGGTAGACAGCAGCATTCTCAGAAATTTCTTTCTGATGTCTGCATTCAACTCATAGAGTTGAAGATTCCCTTTCATAGAGCAGGTTTGAAACACTCTTTCTGGAGTATATGGATGTGGACATTTGGAGCGCTTTGATGCCTGCGGTGAGAAAGTAAATATCTTCCCATAAAAACGAGACAGAAGGATTCTGAGAAACAAGTTTGTGATGTGTGTACTCAGCTAACAGAGTGGAACCTCTCTTTTGATGCAGTAGTTTGGAAACACACTTTTTGTAGAAACTGTAAGTGGATATTTGGATAGCTCTAATGATTTCGTTGGAAACGGGAATATCATCATCTAAAATCTAGACAGAAGCCCTGTCAGAAACTACTTTGTGATATCTGCATTCAAGTCACAGAGTTGAACATTCGCTTTCTTAGAGCACGTTTGAAACACTCTTTTTGTAGTGTCTGGAAGTGGACATTTGGAGTGCTTTGATGCCTTTGGTGAAAAAGGGAATGTCTTCCCATAAAAACTAGACAGAAGCATTCTCAGAAACTTGTTTGTGATGTGTGTACCCAGCCAAAGGAGTTGAACATTTCTATTGATAGAGCAGTTTTGAAACACTCTTGTTGTGGAAAATGCAGGTGGATATTTGGATAGCTTGGAGGATTTCGTTGGAAGCGGGAATTCAAATAAAGGTAGACAGCAACATTCTCAGAAATTTCTTTCTGATGTGTGCATTCAACTCATAGAGTTGAAGATTCCCTTTCATAGAGCAGGTTTGAAACACTCTTTCTGGAGTATCTGGATGTGGACATTTGGACCGCTTTGATGCCTACGGTGAAAAACTAAATATGTTCCCATAAAAACGAGACAGAAGGATTCTCAGAAACAAGTTTGTGATGTGTGTACTCAGCTAACAGAGTGGAACCTTTCTTTTTACAGAGCAGCTTTGAAACTCTATTCTTGTGGATTCTGCAAATGGATATTTAGATTGCTTTAATGATATCGCTGGAAAAGGGAATATGGTCATACAAAATCTAGACAGAAGCATTCTCACAAACTTCTTTGTGATGTGTGTCCTCAACTAACAGAGTTGAACCTTTCTTTTGATGCAGCAGTTTGGAAACACTCTTTTTGTAGAAACTGTAAGTGGATATTTGGATAGCTCTAACGATTGCGTTGGAAACGGGAATATAATCATCTAAAATCTAGACAGAAGCACTATTAGAAACTACTTGGTGATATCTGCATTCAAGTCAAAGAGTTGAACATTCCCTTACTTTGAGCACGTTTGAAACACTCTTTTGGAAGAATCTGGAAGTGGACATTTGGAGCGCTTTGATGCCTTTGGTGAAAAGGAAACGTCTTCCAATAAAAGCCAGACAGAAGCATTCTCAGAAACTTGTTCTTGATGTGTGTACTCAACTAAAAGAGTTGAACCTTTCTATTGATAGAGCAGTTTTGAAACACTCTTTTTGTGGATTCTGCAAGTGGATATTTGGATTGCTTTGAGGATTTCTTTGGAAGCGGGAATTCGTATAACAACTAGACAGCAGCATTCCCAGAAATTTCTTTCGGATATTTCCATTCAACTCATAGAGATGAACATGGCCTTTCATAGAGCAGGTTTGAAACACTCTTTTTGTAGTTTGTGGAAGTGGACATTTCGATCGCCTTGACGCCTACGGTGAAAAAGGAAATATCTTCCCATAAAAAATAGACAGAAGCATTCTCAGAAACTTGTTGGTGATATGTGCCCTCAACTAACAGAGTTGAACTTTGCCATTGATAGAGAGCAGTTTTGAAACACTCTTTTTGTGGAATCTGCAAGTGGATATTTGGATAGCTTGGAGGATTTCGTTGGAAGCGGGAATTCAAATAAAAGGTAGACAGCAGCATTCTCAGAAATTTCTTTCTGATGTCTGCATTCAACTCATAGAGTTGAACATTCCCTTTCATAGAGCAGGTTTGAAATACTCTTTCTGTAGTATCTGGATGTGGACATTTGGAGCGCTTTGATGCCTATGGTGAAAAAGTAAATATCTTCCCATTAAAACGAGACGGAAGGATTCTGAGAAACAAGTTTGTGATGTGTGTACTCAGCTAACAGAGTGGAAATCTCTTTTGATGCAGCAGTTTCGAAACACTCTTTTTGTAGAAACTGTAAGTGGATATTTGGATAGCTCTAATGATTTCGTTGGAAACGGGAATATCATCATCTAAAATCTAGACAGAAGCACTCTCAGAAACTACTGTGTGATATCTGCATTCAAGTCACAGAGTTGAACATTCGCTTTCGTAGAGCACGTTTGAAACACTCTTTTTGTATTGGCTGGAAGTGGACATTTGGAGCGCTTTGATTCCTTTGGTGAAAAAGGGAATGTCTACCCATAAAAACTAGACAGAAGCGTTCTCAGAAACTTGTTTGTGATGTGTGTACCCAGCTAAAGGAGTTGAAAGTTTCTATTGATAGAGCAGTTTTGAAACACTCTTTTTGTGGAAAATGCAAGTGGATGTTTGGATAGCTAGGAGGATTTCGTTGGAAGCGGGAATTCAAATAAAAGGTAGACAGCAGGATTCTGAGAAACAAGTTTGTGATGTGTGTACTCAGCTAACAGAGTGGAACCTTTCTTTTTACAGAGCAGCTTTGAAACTCTATTTTTGTGGATTCTGCAAATTGATATTTAGATTGCTTTAACGATATCGTTGGAAAAGGGAATATCCTCATACAAAATCTAGACAGAAGCACTCTCAGAAACTACTTTGTGATATCTGCATTCAAGTCACAGAGTTGAACATTCGCTTTCTTAGAGCACTTTTGAAACACTCTTTTTGTAGTATCTAGAAGTGGACATTTGGAGCTCTTTGATGCCTTTGGTGAAAAAGGAAATGTCTTCCCATAAAAACTAGACAGAAGCATTCTCAGAAACTTGTTTGTGATGTGTGCACCCAGCTAAAGGAGTTGAACATTTATTGATAGAGCAGTTTTGAAGCACTCTTTTTGTGGAAAATGCAAGTGGATATTTGGATAGCTTGGAGGATTTCGTTGGAAGCGGGAGTTCAAATAAAAGGTAGACAGCAGCATTCTCAGAAATTTCTTTCTGATGTCTGCATTCAACTCATAGAGTTGAAGATTCCCTTTCATAGAGCAGGTTTGAAACACTCTTTCTGGAGTATCTGGATGTGGACATTTGGAGCGCTTTGATGCCTACGGTGAAAAAGTAAATATCTTCCCATAAAAACGAGACAGAAGGATTCTCAGAAACAAGTTTGTGATGTGTGTACTCAGCTAACAGAGTGGAACCTTTCTTTTTACAGAGCAGCTTTGAAACTCTATTTTTGTGGATTCTGCAAATTGATATTTAGGTTGCTTTAACGATATCGTTGGAAAAGGGAATATCGTCATACAAAATCTAGACAGAAGCATTCTCACAAACTTCTTTGTGATGTGTGTCCTCAACTAACAGAGTTGAACCTTTCTTTTGATGCAGCAATTTGGAAACACCCTTTTGGTAGAAACTGTAACTGGATATTTGGATAGCTCTAACGATTTCGTTGGAAACGGGAATATCATCATCTAAAATCTAGACAGAAGCACTATTAGAAACTACTTGGTGATATCTGCATTCAAGTCACAGAGTTGAACATTCCCTTACTTTGAGCACGTTTGAAACACTCTTTTGGAAGAATCTGGAAGTGGACATTTGGAGCGCTTTGATGCCTTTGGTGAAAAGGAAACGTCTTCCAATAAAAGCCAGACAGAAGCATTCTCAGAAACTTGTTCGTGATGTGTGTACTCAACTAAAAGAGTTGAACCTTTCTATTGACAGAGCAGTTTTGAAACACTCTTTTTGTGGATTCTGCAAGTGGATATTTGGATTGCTTTGAGGATTTCGTTGGAAGCGGGAATTCGTATAAACACTAGACAGCAGCATTCCCAGAAATTTCTTTCGGATATTTCCATTCGACTCATAGAGATGAACATGGCCTTTCATAGAGCAGGTTTGAAACACTCTTTTTGTAGTTTGTGGAAGTGGACATTTGGAGCGCTTTGATGCCTTTGGTGAAAAAGGGAATGTCTTCCCATAAAAACTAGACAGAAGCATTCTCAGAAACTTGTTGGTGATATGTGTCCTCAACTAACAGATTTGAACTTTGCCATTGATAGAGAGCAGTTTTGAAACACTCTTTTTGTGGAATCTGCAAGTGGATATTTGGATAGCTTGGAGGATTTCGTTGGAAGCGGGAATTCAAATAAAAGGTAGACAGCAGCATTCTCAGAAATTTCTTTCTGATGTCTGCATTCAACTCATAGAGTTGAATATTCCCTTTCATAGAGCAGGTTTGAAACACTCTTTCTGGAGTATCTGGATGTGGACATTTGGAGCGCTTTGATGCCTACGGTGAAAAAGTAAATATCTTCCCATAAAAACGACACAGAAGGATTCTCAGAAACAAGTTTGTGATGTGTGTACTCAGCTAACAGAGTGGAACCTCTCTTTTGATGCAGCAGTTTGGAAACACTCTTTTTGTAGAAACTGTAAGTGGATATTTGGATAGCTCTAATGATTTCGTTGGAAACGGGAATATCATCATCTAAAATCTAGACAGAAGCCCTCTCAGAAACTACTTTGTGATATCTGCATTCAAGTCACAGAGTTGAACATTCGCTTTCTTAGAGCACGTTGGAAACACTCTTTTTGTAGTGTCTGGAAGTGGACATTTGGAGCGCTTTGATGCCTTTGGTGAAAAAGGGAATGTCTTCCCATAAAATCTAGACAGAAAGCATTCTCAGAAACTTGTTTGTGATGTGTGCACCCAGCTAAAGGAGTTGAACATTTATTGATAGAGCAGTTTTGAAGCACTCTTTTTGTGGAAAATGCAAGTGGATATTTGGATAGCTTGGAGGATTTCGTTGGAAGCGGGAGTTCAAATAAAAGGTAGACAGCAGCATTCTCAGAAATTTCTTTCTGATGTCTGCATTCAACTCATAGAGTTGAAGATTCCCTTTCATAGAGCAGGTTTGAAACACTCTTTCTGGAGTATCTGGATGTGGACATTTGGAGCGCTTTGATGCCTACGGTGAAAAAGTAAATATCTTCCCATAAAAACGAGACAGAAGGATTCTGAGAGACAAGTTTGTGATGTGTGTACTCAGCTAACAGAGTGGAACCTTTCTTTTTACAGAGCAGCTTTGAAACTCTATTTTTGTGGATTCTGCAAATGGATATTTAGATTGCTTTAACGATATCGCTGGAAAAGGGAATATGGTCATACAAAATCTAGACAGAAGCATTCTCACAAACTTCTTTGTGATGTGTGTCCTCAACTAACAGAGTTGAACTTTTCTTTTGATGCAGCAGTTTGGAAACACTGTTTTTGTAGAAACTGTAAGTGGATATTTGGATAGCTCTAACGATTTCGTTGGAAACGGGAATATCATCATCTAAAATCTAGACAGAAGCACTATTAGAAACTACTTGGTGATATCTGCATTCAAGTCACAGAGTTGAACATTCCCTTACTTTGAGCACGTTTGAAACACTCTTTTGGAAGAATCTGGAAGTGGACATTTGGAGCGCTTTGATGCCTTTGGTGAAAAGGAAACGTCTTCCAATAAAAGTCAGACAGAAGCATTCTCAGAAACTTGTTCTTGATGTGTGTACTCAACTAAAAGAGTTGAACCTTTCTATTGATAGAGCAGTTTTGAAACACTCTTTTTGTGGATTCTGCAAGTGGATATTTGGATTGCTTTGAGGATTTCGTTGGAAGCGGGAATTCGTATAAAAACTAGACAGCAGCATTCCCAGAAATTTCTTTCGGATATTTCCATTCAACTCATAGAGATGAACATGGCCTTTCATAGAGCAGGTTTGAAACACTCTTTTTGTAGTTTGTGGAAGTGGACATTTCGATCGCCTTGACGCCTACGGTGAAAAAGGAAATATCTTCCCATAAAAAATAGACAGAAGCATTCTCAGAAACTTGTTGGTGATATGTGTCCTCAACTAACAGAGTTGAACTTTGCCATTGATAGAGAGCAGTTTTGAAACACTCTTTTTGTGGAATCTGCAAGTGGATATTTGGATAGCTTGGAGGATTTCGTTGGAAGCGGGAATTCAAATAAAAGGTAGACAGCAGCATTCTCAGAAATTTCTTTCTGATGTCTGCATTCAACTCATAGAGTTGAAGATTCCCTTTCATAGAGCAGGTTTGAAACACTCTTTCTGGAGTATCTGGATGTGGACATTTGGAGCGCTTTGATGTCTACGGTGGAAAAGTAAATATCTTCCCATAAAAACGAGACAGAAGGATTCTGAGAAACAAGTTTGTGATGTGTGTACTCAGCTAACAGAGTGGAACCTCTGTTTTGATGCAGCAGTTTGGAAACACTCTTTTTGTAGAAACTGTAAGTGGATATTTGGATAGCTCTAATGATTTCGTTGGAAACGGGAATATCATCATCTAAAATCTAGACAGCAGCCCTCTCAGAAACTACTTTGTGATATCTGCATTCAAGTCACAGAGTTGAACATTCGTTTTCTTAGAGCACGTTTGAAACACTCTTTTTGTAGTGTCTGGAAGTGGACATTTGGAGCGCTTTGATGCCTTTGGTGAAAAAGGGAACGTCTTCCCATAAAAACTAGACAGAAGCATTCTCAGAAACTTGTTTGTGATGTGTGTACCCAGCCAAAGGAGTTGAACATTTCTATTGATAGAGCAGTTTTAAAACACTCTTGTTGTGGAAAATGCAAGTGGATATTTGGATAGCTTGGAGGATTTCGTTGGAAGCGGGAATTCAAATAAAAGGTAGACAGCAGCATTCTCAGAAATTTCTTTCTGATGTCTGCATTCAACTCATAGAGTTGAAGATTCCCTTTCATAGAGCAGGTTTGAAACACTCGTTCTGGAGTATCTGGATGTAGACATTTGGAGCGCTTTGATGCCTACGGTGGAAAAGTAAATATCTTCCCATAAAAACGAGACAGAAGGATTCTCAGAAACAAGTTTTTTATGTGTGTACTCAGCTAATAGAGTGGATCCTTTCTTTTTACAGAGCAGCTTTGAAACTCTATTTCTGTGGATTCTGCAAATTGATATTTGGGTTGATTTAATGACATCGTTGGAAAAGGGAATATCTTCATACAAAATCTAGACAGAAGCATTTTCACAAACTTCTTTGTGATGTGTGTCCTCAACTAACAGAGTTGAACCTTTCTTTTGATGCAGCAATTTGGAAACACCCTTTTGGTAGAAACTGTAACTGGATATTTGGATAGCTCTAACGATTTCGTTGGAAACGGGAATATCATCATCTAAAATGTAGACAGAAGCACTATTAGAAACTACTTGGTGATATCTGCATTCAAGTCACAGAGTTGAACATTCCCTTACTTTGAGCACGTTTCAAACACTCTTTTGGAAGAATCTGGAAGTGGACATTTGGAGCGCTTTGATGCCTTTGGTGAAAAGGAAACGTCTTCCAATAAAAGCCAGACAGAAGCATTCTCAGAAACTTGTTTGTGATGTGTGTACTCAACTAAAAGAGTTGAACCTTTCTATTGATAGAGCAGTTTTGAAACACTCTTTTTGTGGATTCTGCAAGTGGATATTTGGATTGCTTTGAGGATTTCGTTGGAAGCGGGAATTCGTATAAACACTAGACAGCAGCATTCCCAGAAATTTCTTTCGGATATTTCCATTCAACTCATAGAGATGAACATGGCCTTTCATAGAGCAGGCTTGAAACACTCTTTTTGTAGTTTGTGGAAGTGGACATTTCGATCGCCTTGACGCCTACGGTGAAAAAGGAAATATCTTCCCATAAAAATAGACAGAAGCATTCTCAGAAACTTGTTGGTGATATGTGTCCTCATCTAACAGAGTTGAACTTTGCCATTGATAGAGAGCAGTTTTGAAACACTCTTTTTGTGGAATCTGCAAGTGGATATTTGGATAGCTTGGAGGATTTCGTTGGAAGCGGGAATTCAAATAAAAGGTAGACAGCAGCATTCTCAGAAATTTCTTTCTGATGTCTGCATTCAACTCATAGAGTTGAAGATTCCCTTTTATAGAGCAGGTTTGAAACACTCTTTCTGGAGTATCTGGATGTGGACATTTGGAGCGCTTTGATGCCTACGGTGAAAAAGTAAATATCTTCCCATAAAAACGAGACAGAAGGATTCTCAGAAACAAGTTTGTGATGTCTTTACTCAGCTAACAGAGTGGAACCTCTCTTTTGATGCAGCAGTTTGGAAACACTCTTTTTGTAGAAACTGTAAGTGGATATTTGGATAGCTCTAATGATTTCGTTGGAAACGGGAATATCATCATCTAAAATCTAGACAGAAGCCCTCTCAGAAACTACTTTGTGATATCTGCATTCAAGTCACAGAGTTGAACATTCACTTTCTTAGAGCACGTTTGAAACACTCTTTTTGTAGTGTCTGGAAGTGGACATTTGGAGCGCTTTGATGCCTTTGGTGAAAAGGGGAATGTCTTCCCATAAAAACTAGACAGAAGCATTCTCAGAAACTTGTTTGTGATGTGTGTACCCAGCTAAAGGAGTTGAACATTTCTATTGATAGAGCAGTCTTGAAACACTCTTTTTGTGGAAAATGCAAGTGGATATTTGGATAGCTTGGAGGATTTCGTTGGAAGCGGGAATTCAAATAAAAGGTAGACAGCAGCATTCTCAGAAATTTCTTTCTGATGTCTGCATTCAACTCATAGAGTTGAAGATTCTCTTTCATAGAGCAGGTTTGAAACACTCTTTCTGGAGTATCTGGATGTGGACATTTGGAGCGCTTTGATGCCTACGGTGAAAAAGTAAATATCTTCCCATAAAAACGAGACAGAAGGATTCTCAGAAACAAGTTTGTGATGTGTGTACTCAGCTAACAGAGTGGAACCTTTCTTTTTACAGAGCAGCTTTGAAACTCTATTTTTGTGGATTCTGCAAATGGATATTTAGATTGCTTTAACGATATCGTTGGAAAAGGGAATATCGTCATACAAAATCTGGACAGAAGCATTCTCACAAACTTCTTTGTGATGTGTGTCCTCAACTAACAGAGTTGAACCTTTCTTTTGATGCAGCAGTTTGGAAACACTCTTTTTGTAGAAACTGTAAGTGGATATTTGGATAGCTCTAACGATTTCGCTGGAAACGGGAATATCGTCATCTAAAATCTAGACAGAAGCACTATTAGAAACTACTTGGTGATATCTGCATTCAAGTCACAGAGTTGAACATTCCCTTACTTTGAGCACGTTTGAAACACTCTTTTGGAAGAATCTGGAAGTGGACATTTGGAGCGCTTTGATGCCTTTGGTGAAAAGGAAACGGCTTCCAATAAAAGCCAGACAGAAGCATTCTCAGCAAACTTGTTTGTGATGTGTGTACTCAACTAAAAGAGTTGAACCTTTCTATTGATAGAGCAGTTTTGAAACACTCTTTTTGTGGATTCTGCAAGTGGATATTTGGATTGCTTTGAGGATTTCGTTGGAAGCGGGAATTCGTATAAAAACTAGACAGCAGCATTCCCAGAAATTTCTTTCGGATATATCCATTCAACTCATAGAGATGAACATGGCCTTTCATAGAGCAGGTTTGAAACACTCTTTTTGTAGTTTGTGGAAGTGGACATTTCGATCGCCTTGACGCCTACGGTGAAAAAGGAAATATCTTCCCATAAAAAATAGACAGAAGCATTCTCAGAAACTTGTTGTTGATATGTGTCCTCAACTAACAGAGTTGAACTTTGCCATTGATAGAGAGCAGTTTTGAAACACTCTTTTTGTGGAATCTGCAAGTGGATATTTGGATAGCTTGGAGGATTTCGTTGGAAGCGGGAATTCAAATAAAAGGTAGACAGCAGCATTCTCAGGAATTTCTTTCTGATGTCTGCATTCAACTCATAGAGTTGAAGATTCCCTTTCATAGAGCAGGTTTGAAACACTCTTTGTGGAGTATCTGGATGTGGACATTTGGAGCGCTTTGATGCCTACGTTGAAAAAGTAAATATCTTCCCATAAAAACGAGACAGAAAGGATTCTGAGAAACAAGTTTGTGATGTGTGTACTCAGCTAACAGAGTGGAACCTCTCTTTTGATGCAGCAGTTTGGAAACACTCTTTTTGTAGAAACTGTAAGTGGATATTTGGATAGCTCTAATGATTTCGTTGGAAACGGGAATATCATCGTCTAAAATCTAGACAGAAGCCCTCTCAGAAACTACTGTGTGATATCTGCATTCAAGTCACAGAGTTGAACATTCGCTTTCTTAGAGCACGTTTGAAACACTCTTTTTGTAGTGTCTGGAAGTGGACATTTGGAGCGCTTTGATTCCTTTGGTGAAAAAGGGAATGTCTACCCATAAAAACTAGACAGAAGCATTTTCAGAAACTTGTTTGTGATGTGTGTACCCAGCCAAAGGAGTTGAACATTTCTATTGATAGAGCAGTTTTGAAACACTCTTTTTGTGGAAAATGCAGGTGGATATTTGGATAGCTTGGAGGATTTCGTTGGAAGCGGGAATTCAAATAAAAGGTAGACAGCAGCATTCTCAGAAATTTCTTTCTGATGTCTGCATTCAACTCATAGAGTTGAAGATTCCCTTTCATAGAGCAGGTTTGAAATACTCTTTCTGGAGTATCTGGATGTGGACATTTGGAGCGCTTTGATGCCTACGGTGGAAAAGTAAATATCTTCCCATAAAAACGAGACAGAAGGATTCTCAGAAACAAGTTTGTGATGTGTGTACTCAGCTAACAGAGTGGAGCCTTTCTTTTTACAGAGCAGCTTTGAAACTCTATTTTCGTGGATTCTGCAAATTGATATTTAGATTGCTTTAACGATATCGTTGGAAAAGGGAATATCGTCATACAAAATCTAGACAGAAGCATTCTCACAAACTTCTTTGTGATGTGTGTCCTCAACTAACAGAGTTGAACCTTTCTTTTGATGCAGCAATTTGGAAACACCCTTTCGGTAGAAACTGTAACTGGATATTTGGATAGCTCTAACGATTTCGTTGGAAACGGGAATATCATCACCTAAAATCTAGACAGAAGCACTATTAGAAACTACTTGGTGATATCTGCATTCAAGTCACAGAGTAGAACATTCCCTTACTTCGAGCACGTTTGAAACACTCCTTTGGAAGAATCTGGAAGTGGACATTTGGAGCGCTTTGATGCCTTTGGTGAAAAGGAAACGTCTTCCAATAAAAGCCAGACAGAAGCATTCTCAGAAACTTGTTGGTGATGTGTGTACTCAACTAAAAGAGTTGAACCTTTCTATTGATAGAGCAGTTTTGAAACACTCTTTTTGTGGATTCTGCAAGTGGATATTTGGATTGCTTTGAGGATTTCGTTGGAAGCGGGAATTCATATAAAAACTAGACAGCAGCATTCCCAGAAATTTCTTTCGGATATTTCCATTCAACTCATAGAGATGAACATCGCCTTTCATAGAGCAGGTTTGAAACACTCTTTTTGTAGTTTGTGGAAGTGGACATTTCGATCGCCTTGACGCCTACGGTGAAAAAGGAAATATCTTCCCATAAACAATAGACAGAAGCATTCTCAGAAACTTGTTGGTGATATGTGTCCTCAACTAACAGAGTTGAACTTTGCCATTGATAGAGAGCAGTTTTGAAACACTCTTTTTGTGGAATCTGCAAGTGGATATTTGGATAGCTTGGAGGATTTCGTTGGAAGCGGGAATTCAAATAAAAGGTAGACAGCAGCATTCTCAGAAATTTCTTTCTGATGTCTGCATTCAACTCATAGAGTTGAAGATTCCCTTTCATAGAGCAGGTTTGAAACACTCTTTCTGGAGTATCTGGATGTGGACATTTGGAGCGCTTTGATGCCTACGGTGAAAAAGTAAATATCTTCCCATAAAAAAGAGACAGAAGGATTCTGAGAAACAAGTTTGTGATGTGTGTACTCAGCTAACAGAGTGGAACCTTTCTTTTTACAGAGCAGCTTTGAAACTCTATTTTTGTGGATTCTGCAAATTGATATTTAGATTGCTTTAACGATATCGTTGGAAAAGGGAATATCGTCATACAAAACCTAGACAGAAGCATTCTCACAAACTTCTTTGTGACGTGTGTCCTCAACTAACAGAGTTGAACCTTTCTTTTGATGCAGCAGTTTGGAAACACTGTTTTTGTAGCAACTGTAAGTGGATATTTGGATAGCTCTAACGATTTTGTTGGAAACGGGAATATCATCATCTAAAATCTAGACAGAAGCACTATTAGAAACTACTTGGTGATATCTGCATTCAAGTCACAGAGTTGAACATTCCCTTACTTTGAGCACGTTTCAAACACTCTTTTGGAAGAATCTGGAAGTGGACATTTGGAGCGCTTTGATGCCTTTGGTGAAAAGGAAACGTCTTCCAATAAAAGCCAGACAGAAGCATTCTCAGAAACTTGTTTGTGATGTGTGTACTCAACTAAAAAGAGTTGAACCTTTCTATTGATAGAGCAGTTTTGAAACACTCTTTTTGTGGATTCTGCAAGTGGATATTTGGATTGCTTTGAGGATTTCGTTGGAAGCGGGAATTCGTATAAAAACTAGACAGCAGCATTCCCAGAAATTTCTTTCGGATATTTCCATTCGACTCATAGAGATGAACATGGCCTTTCATAGAGCAGGTTTGAAACACTCTTTTTGTAGTTTGTGGAAGTGGACATTTCGATCGCCTTGACGCCTACGGTGAAAAAGGAAATATCTTCCCATAAAAAATAGACAGAAGCATTCTCAGAAACTTGTTGGTGATATGTGTCCTCAACTAACAGAGTTCAACTTTGCCATTGATAGAGAGCAGTTTTGAAACACTCTTTTTGTGGAATCTGCAAGTGGATATTTGGATAGCTTGGAGGATTTCGTTGGAAGCGGGAATTCAAATAAAAGGTAGACAGCAGCATTCTCAGAAATTTCTTTCTGATGTCTGCATTCAACTCATAGAGTTGAAGATTCCCTTTCATAGGGCAGGTTTGAAATACTCTTTCTGTAGTATCTGGATGTGGACATTTGGAGCGCTTTGATGCCTACGGTGAAAAAGTAAATATCTTCCCATAAAAACGAGACAGAAGGATTCTGAGAAACAAGTTTGTGATGTGTGTGCTCAGCTAACAGAGTGGAACCTCTCTTTTGATGCAGCAGTTTGGAAACACTCTTTTTGTAGAAACTGTAAGTGGATATTTGGATAGCTCTAATGATTTCGTTGGAAACGGGAATATCATCATCTAAAATCTAGACAGAAGCCCTCTCAGAAACTACTTTGTGATATCTGCATTCAAGTCACAGAGTTGAACATTCGCTTTCTTAGAGCACGTTTGAAACACTCTTTTTGTAGTGTCTGGAAGTGGACATTTGGAGCGCTTTGATTCCTTTGGTGAAAAAGGGAATGTCTACCCATAAAAACTAGACAGAAGCATTCTCAGAAACTTGTTTGTGATGTGTGTACCCAGCCAAAGGAGTTGAACATTTCTATTGATAGAGCAGTTTTGAAACACTCTTTTTGTGGAAAATGCAGGTGGATATTTGGATAGCTTGGAGGATTTCGTTGGAAGCGGGAATTCAAATAAAAGTTAGACAGCAGCATTCTCAGAAATTTCTTTCTGATGTCTGCATTCAACTCATAGAGTTGAAGATTCCCTTTCATAGAGCAGGTTTGAAATACTCTTTCTGTAGTATCTGGATGTGGACATTTGGAGCGCTTTGATGCCTACGGTGAAAAAGTAAATATCTTCCCATAAAAACGAGACAGAAGGATTCTCAGAAACAAGTTTGTGATGTGTGTACTCAGCTAACAGAGTGGAACCTTTCTTTTTACAGAGCAGCTTTGAAACTCTATTTTTGTGGATTCTGCAAATTGATATTTAGATTGCTTTAACGATATCGTTGGAAAAGGGAATATGGTCATACAAAATCTAGACAGAAGCATTCTCACAAACTTCTTTGTGATGTGTGTCCTCAACTAACAGAGTTGAACCTTTCTTTTGATGCAGCAGTTTGGAAACACTGTTTTTGTAGCAACTGTAAGTGGATATTTGGATAGCTCTAACGATTTCGTTGGAAACGGGAATATCATCATCTAAAATCTAGACAGAAAGCACTATTAGAAACTACTTGGTGATATCTGCATTCAAGTCACAGAGTTGAACATTCCCTTACTTTGAGCACGTTTCAAACACTCTTTTGGAAGAATCTGGAAGTGGACATTTGGAGCGCTTTGATGCCTTTGGTGAAAAGGAAACGTCTTCCAATAAAAGCCAGACAGAAGCATTCTCAGAAACTTGTTTGTGATGTGTGTACTCAACTAAAAGAGTTGAACCTTTCTATTGATAGAGCAGTTTTGAAACACTCTTTTTGTGGATTCTGCAAGTGGATATTTGGATTGCTTTGAGGATTTCGTTGGAAGCGGGAATTCGTATAAAAACTAGACAGCAGCATTCCCAGAAATTTCTTTCGGATATTTCCATTCAACTCATAGAGATGAACATGGCCTTTCATAGAGCAGGTTTGAAACACTCTTTTTGTAGTTTGTGGAAGTGGACATTTCGATCGCCTTGACGCCTACGGTGAAAAAGGAAATATCCTCCCATAAAAAATAGACAGAAGCATTCTCAGAAAACTTGTTGGTGATATGTGTCCTCAACTAACAGAGTTGAACTTTGCCATTGATAGAGAGCAGTTTTGAAACACTCTTTTTCCTGAATCTGCAAGTGGATATTTGGATAGTTTGGAGGATTTCGTTGGAAGCGGGAATTCAAATAAAAGGTAGACAGCAGCATTCTCAGAAATTTCTTTCTGATGTCTGCATTCAACTCATAGAGTTGAACATTCCCTTTCATAGGGCAGGTTTGAAATACTCTTTCTGTAGTATCTGGATGTGGACATTTGGAGCGCTTTGATGCCTACGGTGAAAAAGTAAATATCTTCCCATAAAAACGAGACAGAAGGATTCTGAGAAACTAGTTTGTGATGTGTGTACTCAGCTAACAGAGTGGAACCTCTCTTTTGATGCAGTAGTTTGGAAACACTCTTTTTGTAGAAACTGGAAGTGGATATTTGGATAGCTCTAATGATTTCGTTGGAAACGGGAATATCATCATCTAAAATCTAGACAGAAGCCCTCTCAGAAACTACTTTGTGATATCTGCATTCAAGTCACAGAGTTGAACATTCGCTTTCTTAGAGCACGTTGGAAACACTCTTTTTGTAGTGTCTGGAAGTGGACATTTGGAGCGCTTTGATGCCTTGGTGAAAAAGGGAATGTCTTCCCATAAAAACTAGACAGAAGCATTCTCAGAAACTTGTTTGTGATGTGTGTACCCAGCCAAAGGAGTTGAACATTTCTATTGATAGAGCAGTTTTGAATCACTCTTGTTGTGGAAAATGCAGGTGGATATTTGGATAGCTTGGAGGATTTCGTTGGAAGCGGGAATTCAAATAAAAGGTAGACAGCAGCATTCTCAGAAATTTCTTTCTGATGTCTGCATTCAACTCATAGAGTTGAAGATTCCCTTTCATAGAGCAGGTTTGAAACAGTCTTTCTGGAGTATCTGGATGTGGACATTTGGAGCGCTTTGATGCCTATGGTGAAAAAGTAAATATCTTCCCATAAAAACGAGACAGAAGGATTCTGAGAAACAAGTTTGTGATGTGTGTACTCAGCTAACAGAGTGGAACCTTTCTTTTTACAGAGCAGCTTTGAAACTCTATTTTTGTGGATTCTGCAAATTGATATTTAGATTGATTTAACGATATCGTTGGAAAAGGGAATATCGTCATACAAAATCTAGACAGAAGCATTCTCACAAACTTCTTTGTGATGTGTGTCCTCAACTAACAGAGTTGAACCTTTCTTTTGATGCAGCAGTTTGGAAACACTCTTTTTGTAGAAACTGTAAGTGGATATTTGGATAGCTCTAACGATTTCGTTGGAATCGGGAATATCATCATCTAAAATCTAGACAGAAGCACTATTAGAAACTACTTGGTGATATCTGCATTCAAGTCAAAGAGTTGAACATTCCCTTACTTTGAGCACGTTTGAAACACTCTTTTGGAAGAATCTGGAAGTGGACATTTGGAGCGCTTTGATGCCTTTGGTGAAAAGGAAACGTCTTCCAATAAAAGCCAGACAGAAGCATTCTCAGAAACTTGTTTGTGATGTGTGTACTCAACTAAAAGAGTTGAACCTTTCTATTGATAGCGCAGTTTTGAAACACTCTTTTTGTGGATTCTGCAAGTGGATATTTGGATTGCTTTGAGGATTTCGTTGGAAGCGGGAATTCGTATAAACACTAGACAGCAGCATTCCCAGAAATTTCTTTCGGATATTTCCATTCAACTCATAGAGATGAACATGGCCTTTCATAGAGCAGGTTTGAAACACTCTTTTTGTAGTTTGTGGAAGTGGACATTTCGATCGCCTTGACGCCTACGCTGAAAAAGGAAATATCTTCCCATAAAAAATAGACAGAAGCATTCTCAGAAACTTGTTGGTGATATGTGTCCTCAACTAACAGAGTTGAACTTTGCCATTGATAGAGAGCAGTTTTGAAACACTCTTTTTGTGGAATCTGCAAGTGGATATTTGGATAGCTTGGAGGATTTCGTTGGAAGCGGGAATTCAAATAAAAGGTAGACAGCAGCATTCTCAGAAATTTCTTTCTGATCTCTGCATTCAACTCATAGAGTTGAACATTCCCTTTCATAGGGCAGGTTTGAAATACTCTTTCTGGAGTATCTGGATGTGGACATTTGGAGCGCTTTGATGCCTACGGTGAAAAAGTAAATATCTTCCCATAAAAACGAGACAGAAGGATTCTGAGAAACAAGTTTGTGATGTGTGTACTCAGCTAACAGAGTGGAACCTCTCTTTTGATGCAGCAGTTTGGAAACACTCTTTTTGCAGAAACTGTAAGTGGATATTTGGATAGCTCTAATGATTTCGTTGGAAACGGGAATATCATCATCTAAAATCTAGACAGAAGCCCTCTCAGAAACTACTTTGTGATATCTGCATTCAAGTCACAGAGTTGAACATTCGCTTTCTTAGAGCACGTTGGAAACACTCTTTCTGTGGTGTCTGGAAGTGGACATTTGGAGCGCTTTGATGCCTTTGGTGAAAAAGGGAATGTCTTCCCATGAAAACTAGACAGAAGCATTCTCAGAAACTTGTTTGTGATGTGTGTACCCAGCTAAAAGAGTTGAACATTTCTATTGATAGAGCAGTTTTGAAACACTCTTTTTGTGGAAAATGCAAGTGGATATTTGGATAGCTTGGAGGATTTCGTTGGAAGCGGGAATTCAAATAAAAGGTAGACAGCAGGATTCTCAGAAACAAGTTTGTGATGTGTGTACTCAGCTAACAGAGTGGAACCTTTCTTTTTACAGAGCAGCTTTGAAACTCTATTTTTGTGGATTCTGCAAATTGATATTTAGATTGCTTTAACGATATTGTTGGAAAAGGGAATATGGTCATACAACATCTAGACAGAAGCATTCTCACAAACTTCTTTGTGATGTGTGTCCTCAACTAACAGAGTTGAACCTTTCTTTTGATGCAGCAGTTTGGAAACACTCTTTTTGTAGAAACTGTAAGTGGATATTTGGATAGCTCTAACGATTTCGCTGGAAACGGGAATATCGTCATCTAAAATCTAGACAGAAGCACTATTAGAAACTACTTGGTGATATCTGCATTCAAGTCAAAGAGTTGAACATTCCCTTACTTTGAGCACGTTTGAAACACTCTTTTGGAAGAATCTGGAAGTGGACATTTGGAGCATTTTGATGCCTTTGGTGAAAAGGAAACGTCTTCCAATAAAAGCCAGACAGAAGCATTCTCAGAAACTTGTTTGTGATGTGTGTACTCAACTAAAAGAGTTGAACCTTTCTATTGATAGAGCAGTTTTGAAACACTCTTTTTGTGGATTCTGCAAGTGGATATTTGGATTGCTTTGAGGATTTCGTTGGAAGCGGGAATTCGTATAAAAACTAGACAGCAGCATTCCCAGAAATTTCTTTCGGATATTTCCATTCAAGTCATAGAGATGAACATGGCCTTTCATAGAGCAGGTTTGAAACACTCTTTTTGTAGTTTGTGGAAGTGGACATTTCGATCGCCTTGACGCCTACGGTGAAAAAGGAAATATCTTCCCATAAAAAATAGACAGAAGCATTCTCAGAAACTTGTTGGTGATATGTGTCCTCAACTAACAGAGTTGAACTTTGCCATTGATAGAGAGCAGTTTTGAAACACTCTTTTTGTGGAATCTGCAAGTGGATATTTGGATAGCTTGGAGGATTTCGTTGGAAGCGGGAATTCAAATAAAAGGCAGACAGCAGCATTCTCAGAAATTTCTTTCTGATGTCTGCATTCAACTCATAGAGTTGAAGATTCCCTTTCATAGAGCAGGTTTGAAACACTCTTTCTGGAGTATCTGGATGTGGACATTTGGAGCGCTTTGATGCCTACGGTGAGAAAGTAAATATCTTCCCATAAAAACGAGACAGAAGGATTCTGAGAAACAAGTTTGTGATGTGTGTACTCAGCTAACAGAGTGGAACCTCTCTTCTGATGCAGCAGTTTGGAAACACTTTTTTTGTAGAAACTGTAAGTGGATATTTGGATAGCTCTAATGATTTCGTTGGAAACGGGAATATCATCATCTAAAATCTAGACAGAAGCACTCTCAGAAACTACTTTGTGATATCTGCATTCAAGTCACAGAGTTGAACATTCGCTTTCTTAGAGCACGTTTGAAACACTCTTTTTGTAGTGTCTGGAAGTGGACATTTGGAGCGCTTTGATTCCTTTGGTGAAAAAGGGAATGTCTACCCATAAAAACTACACAGAAGCATTCTCAGAAACTTGTTTGTGATGTGTGCACCCAGCTAAAGGAGTTGAACATTTATTGATAGAGCAGTTTTGAAGCACTCTTTTTGTGGAAAATGCAAGTGGATATTTGGATAGCTTGGAGGATTTCGTTGGAAGCGGGAGTTCAAATAAAAGGTAGACAGCAGCATTCTCAGAAATTTCTTTCTGATGTCTGCATTCAACTCATAGAGTTGAAGATTCCCTTTCATAGAGCAGGTTTGAAACACTCTTTCTGGAGTATCTGGATGTGGACATTTGGAGCGCTTTGATGTCTACGGTGAAAAAGTAAATATCTTCCCAGAAAAACGAGACAGAAGGATTCTGAGAAACAAGTTTGTGATGTGTGTACTCAGCTAACAGAGTGGAACCTTTCTTTTTACAGAGCAGCTTTGAAACTCTATTTTTGTGGATTCTGCAAATTGATATTTAGATTGCTTTAACGATATCGTTGGAAAAGGGAATATCGTCATACAAAATCTGGACAGAAGCATTCTCACAAACTTCTTTGTGATGTGTGTCCTCAACTAACAGAGTTGAACCTTTCTTTTGATGCAGCAATTTGGAAACACCCTTTTGGTAGAAACTGTAACTGGATATTTGGATAGCTCTAATGATTTCGTTGGAAACGGGAATATCATCATCTAAAATCTAGACAGAAGCACTATTAGAAACTACTTGGTGATATCTGCATTCAAGTCACAGAGTTGAACATTCCCTTACTTTGAGCACGTTTGAAACACTCTTTTGGAAGAATCTGGAAGTGGACATTTGGAGCGCTTTGATGCCTTTGGTGAAAAGGAAACGTCTTCCAATAAAAGCCAGACAGAAGCATTCTCAGAAACTTGTTTGTGATGTGTGTACTCAACTAAAAGAGTTGAACCTTTCTATTGATAGAGCAGTTTTGAAACACTCTTTTTGTGGATTCTGCAAGTGGATATTTGGATTGCTTTGAGGATTTCGTTGGAAGCGGGAATTCGTATAACAACTAGACAGCAGCATTCCCAGAAATTTCTTTTGGATATTTCCATTCAACTCATAGAGATGAACATGGCCTTTCATAGAGCAGGTTTGAAACACTCTTTTTGTAGTTTGTGGAAGTGGACATTTCGATCGCCTTGACGCCTACGGTGAAAAAGGAAGTATCTTCCCATAAAAAATAGACAGAAGCATTCTCAGAAACTTGTTGGTGATATGTGTCCTCAACTAACAGAGTTGAACTTTGCCATTGATAGAGAGCAGTTTTGAAACACTCTTTTTGTGGAATCTGCAAGTGGATATTTGGATAGCTTGGAGGATTTCGTTGGAAGCGGGAATTCAAATAAAAGGTAGACAGCAGCATTCTCAGAAATTTCTTTCTGATGTCTGCATTCAACTCATAGAGTTGAAGATTCCCTTTCATAGAGCAGGTTTGAAACACTCTTTCTGGAGTATCTGGATGTGGACATTTGGAGCGCTTTGATGCCTACGGTGAAAAAGTATAATCTTCCCATAAAAACGAGACAGAAGGATTCTCAGAAACAAGATTTTGATGTGTGTACTCAGCTAACAGAGTGGAACCTCTCTTTAGATGCAGCAGTTTGGAAACACTCTTTTTGTAGAAACTGTAAGTGGATATTTGGATAGCTCTAATGATTTCGTTGGAAACGGGAATATCATCATCTAAAATCTAGACAGAAGCCCTCTCAGAAACTACTTTGTGATATCTGCATTCAAGTCACAGAGTTGAACATCCGGTTTCTTAGAGCACGTTTGAAACACTCTTTTTGTAGTGTCTGGAAGTGGACATTTGTAGCGCTTTGATGCCTTTGGTGAAAAAGGGAATGTCTTCCCATAAAAACTAGACAGAAGCATTCTCAGAAACTTGTTTGTGATGTGTGTACCCAGCCAAAGGAGTTGAACATTTCTATTGATAGAGCAGTTTCGAAACACTCTTGTTGTGGAAAATGCAGGTGGATATTTGGATAGCTTGGAGGATTTCGTTGGAAGCGGGAATTCAAATAAAAGGTAGACAGCAGCATTCTCAGAAATTTCTTTCTGATGTCTGCATTCAACTCATAGAGTTGAAGATTCCCTTTCATAGAGCAGGTTTGAAACACTCTTTCTGGAGTATCTGGATGTGGACATTTGGAGCGCTTTGATGCCTACGGTGAAAAAGTAAATATCTTCCCATAAAAACGAGACAGAAGGATTCTCAGAAACAAGTTTGTGATGTGTGTACTCAGCTAACAGAGTGGAACCTTTCTTTTTACAGAGCAGCTTTGAAACTCTATTTTTGTGGATTCTGCAAATGGATATTTAGATTGCTTTAACGATATCGTTGGAAAAGGGAATATCGTCATACAAAATCTAGACAGAAGCATTCTCACAAACTTCTTTGTGATGTGTGTCCTCAACTAACAGAGTTGAACCTTTATTTTGATGCAGCAGTTTGGAAACACTCTTTTTGTAGAAACTGTGAGTGGATATTTGGATAGCTCTAACGATTTCGTTGGAAACGGGAATATCATCATCTAAAATCTAGACAGAAGCACTATTAGAAACTAGTTGGTGATATCTGCATTCAAGTCACAGAGTTGAACATTCCCTTACTTTGAGCACGTTTCAAACACTCTTTTGGAAGAATCTGGAAGTGGACATTTGGAGCGCTTTGATGCCTTTGGTGAAAAGGAAACGTCTTCCAATAAAAGCCAGACAGAAGCATTCTCAGAAACTTGTTTGTGATGTGTGTACTCAACTAAAAGAGTTGAACCTTTCTATTGATAGAGCAGTTTTGAAACACTCTTTTTGTGGATTCTGCAAGTGGATATTTGGATTGCTTTGAGGATTTCGTTGGAAGCGGGAATTCGTATAAAAACTAGACAGCAGCATTCCCAGAAATTTCTTTCGGATATTTCCATTCGACTCATAGAGATGAACATGGCCTTTCATAGAGCAGGTTTGAAACACTCTTTTTGTAGTTTGTGGAAGTGGACATTTCGATCGCCTTGACGCCTACGGTGAAAAAGGAAATATCTTCCCATAAAAAACAGACAGAAGCATTCTCAGAAACTTGTTGGTGATATGTGTCCTCAACTAACAGAGTTGAACTTTGCCATTGATAGAGAGCAGTTTTGAAACACTCTTTTTGTGGAATCTGCAAGTGGATATTTGGATAGCTTGGAGGATTTCGTTGGAAGCGGGAATTCAAATAAAAGGTAGACAGCAGCATTCTCAGAAATTTCTTTCTGATGTCTGCAATCAACTCATAGAGTTGAAGATTCCCGTTCATAGAGCAGGTTTGAAACACTCTTTGTGGAGTATCTGGATGTGGACATTTGGAGCGCTTTGATGCCTACGGTGAAAAAGTAAATATCTTCCCATAAAAACGAGACAGAAGGATTCTGAGAATCAAGTTTGTGATGTGTGTACTCAGCTAACAGAGTGGAACCTCTCTTTTGATGCAGCAGTTTGGAAACACTCTTTTTGTAGAAACTGTAAGTGGATATTTGGATAGCTCTAATGATTTCGTTGGAAACGGGAATATCATCATCTAAAATCTAGACAGAAGCCCTCTCAGAAACTACTTTGTGATATCTGCATTCAAGTCACAGAGTTGAATATTCGCTTTCTTAGAGCACGTTTGAAACACTCTTTTTGTAGTGTCTGGAAGTGGACATTTGGAGCGCTTTGATGCCTTTGGTGAGAAAGGGAATGTCTTCCCATAAAAACTAGAAAGAAGCATTCTCAGGAAACTTGTTTGTGATGTGTGTACCCAGCTAAAGGAGTTGAACATTTCTATTGATAGAGCAGTTTTGAAACACTCTTTTTGTGGAAAATGCAAGTGGATATTTGGATAGCTTGGAGGATTTCGTTGGACGCGGGAATTCAAATAAAAGGTAGACAGCAGAATTCTCAGAAATTTCTTTCTGATGTCTGCATTCAACTCATAGAGTTGAAGATTCCCTTTCATAGAGCAGGTTTGAAACAGTCTTTCTGGAGTATCTGGATGTGGACATTTGGAGCGCTTTGATGCCTACGGTGGAAAAGTAAATATCTTCCCATAAAAACGAGACAGAAGGATTCTGAGAAACAAGTTTGTGATGTGTGTACTCAGCTAACAGAGTGGAACCTTTCTTTTTACAGAGCAGCTTTGAAACTCTATTTTTGTGGATTCTGCAAATGGATATTTAGATTGCTTTAACGATATCGTTGGAAAAGGGAATATGGTCATACAAAATCTAGACAGAAGCATTCTCACAAACTTGTTTGTGATGTGTGTCCTCAACTAACGGAGTTGAACCTTTCTTTTGATGCAGCAATTTGGAAACACCCTTTTGGTAGAAACTGTAACTGGATATTTGGATAGCTCTAACGATTTCGTTGGAAACGGGAATATCATCATCTAAAATGTAGACAGACAAGCACTATTAGAAACTACTTGGTGATATCTGCATTCAAGTCACAGAGTTGAACATTCCCTTACTTTGAGCACGTTTCAAACACTCTTTTGGAAGAATCTGGAAGTGGACATTTGGAGCGCTTTGATGCCTTTGGTGAAAAGGAA
This sequence comes from Homo sapiens, assembly GCF_000001405.40. Taxonomy (NCBI): domain Eukaryota; kingdom Metazoa; phylum Chordata; class Mammalia; order Primates; family Hominidae; genus Homo; species Homo sapiens. The sequence continues at coordinate 17,796,681 of NC_000014.9, forward strand.
ACGTCTTCCAATAAAAGCCAGACAGAAGCATTCTCAGAAACTTGTTTGTGATGTGTGTACTCAACTAAAAGAGTTGAACCTTTCTATTGATAGAGCAGTTTTGAAACACTCTTTTTGTGGATTCTGCAAGTGGATATTTGGATTGCTTTGAGGATTTCGTTGGAAGCGGGAATTCGTATAAAAACTAGACAGCAGCATTCCCAGAAATTTCTTTCGGATATTTCCATTCAACTCATAGAGATGAACATGGCCTTTCATAGAGCAGGTTTGAAACACGCTTTTTGTAGTTTGTGGAAGTGGACATTTCGATCGCCTTGACGCCTACGGTGAAAAAGGAAATATCTTCCCATAAAAAATAGACAGAAGCATTCTCAGAAACTTGTTGGTGATATGTGTCCTCAACTAACAGAGTTGAACTTTGCCATTGATAGAGAGCAGTTTTGAAACACTCTTTTTGTGGAATCTGCAAGTGGATATTTGGATAGCTTGGAGGATTTCGTTGGAAGCGGGAATTCAAATAAAAGGTAGACAGCAGCATTCTCAGAAATTTCTTTCTGATGTCTGCATTCAACTCATAGAGTTGAACATTCCCTTTCATAGAACAGGTTTGAAACACTCTTTCTGGAGTATCTGGATGTGGACATTTGGAGCGCTTTGATGCCTACGGTGAAAAAGTAAATATCTTCCCATAAAAACGAGACAGAAGGATTCTCAGAAACAAGTTTGTGATGTTTGTACTCAGCTAACAGAGTGGAACCTCTCTTTTGATGCAGCAGTTTGGAAACACTCTTTTTGTAGAAACTGTAAGTGGATATTTGGATAGCTCTAATGATTTCGTTGGAAACGGGAATATCATCATCTAAAATCTAGAGAGAAGCCCTCTCAGAAACCACTTTGTGATATCTGCATTCAAGTCACAGATTTGAACATTCGTTTTCTTAGAGCACGTTTGAAACACTCTTTTTGTAGTGTCTGGAAGTGGACATTTGGAGCGCTTTGATGCCTTTGGTGAAAAAGGGAATGTCTTCCCATAAAAACTAGACAGAAGCATTCTCAGAAACTTGTTTGTGATGTGTGTACCCAGCCAAAGGAGTTGAACATTTCTATTGATAGAGCAGGTTTGAAACACTCTTTTTGTGGAAAATGCAGGTGGATATTTGGATAGCTTGGAGGATTTCGTTGGAAGCGGGAATTCAAATAAAAGGTAGACAGCAGCATTCTCAGAAATTTCTTTCTGATGTCTGCATTCAACCTCATAGAGTTGAAGATTCCCTTTCATAGAGCAGGTTTGAAACACTCGTTCTGGAGTATCTGGATGTGGACATTTGGAGCGCTTTGATGCCTACAGTGGAAAAGTAAATATCTTCCCATAAAAACGAGACAGAAGGATTCTCAGAAACAAGTTTGTGATGTGTGTACTCAGCTAACAGAGTGGAACCTTTCTTTTTACAGAGCAGCTTTGAAACTCTATTTTTGTGGATTCTGCAAATTGATATTTAGATTGCTTTAATGATATCGTTGGAAAAGGGAATATCGTCATACAAAATCTAGACAGAAGCATTCTCACAAACTTCTTTGTGACGTGTGTCCTCAACTAACAGAGTTGAACCTTTCTTTTGATGCAGCAGTTTGGAAACACTGTTTTTGTAGCAACTATAAGTGGATATTTGGATAGCTCTAACGATTTCGTTGGAAACGGGAATATCATCATCTAAAATCTAGACAGAAGCACTATTAGAAACTACTTAGTGATATCTGCATTCAAGTCACAGAGTTGAACATTCCCTTACTTTGAGCACGTTTGAAACACTCTTTTGGAAGAATCTGGAAGTGGACATTTGGAGCGCTTTGATGCCTTTGGTGAAAAGGAAACGTCTTCCAATAAAAGCCAGACAGAAGCATTCTCAGAAACTTGTTTGTGATGTGTGTACTCAACTAAAAGAGTTGAACCTTTCTATTGATAGAGCAGTTTTGAAACACTCTTTTTGTGGATTCTGCAAGTGGATATTTGGATTGCTTTGAGGATTTCGTTGGAAGCGGGAATTCGTATAAAAACTAGACAGCAGCATTCCCAGAAATTTCTTTCGGATATTTCCATTCAACTCATAGAGATGAACATGGCCTTTCATAGAGCAGGTTTGAAACACTCTTTTTGTAGTTTGTGGAAGTGGACATTTCGATCGCCTTGATGCCTACGGTGAAAAAGGAAATATCTACCCATAAAAAATAGACAGAAGCATTCTCAGAAACTTGTTGGTGATATGTGTCCTCAACTAACAGAGTTGAACTTTGCCATTGATAGAGAGCAGTTTTGAAACACTCTTTTTGTGGAATCTGCAAGTGGATATTTGGATAGCTTGGAGGATTTCGTTGGAAGCGGGAATTCAAATAAAAGGTAGACAGCAGCATTCTCAGAAATTTCTTTCTGATGCCTGCATTCAACTCATAGAGTTGAAGATTCCCTTTCATAGAGCAGGTTTGAAACACTCTTTCTGGAGTATCTGGATGTGGACATTTGGAGCGCTTTGATGCCTACGGTGAGAAAGTAAATATCTTCCCATAAAAACGAGACAGAAGGATTCTGAGAAACAAGTTTGTGATGTGTGTACTCAGCTAACAGAGTGGAACCTCTCTTTTGATGCAGCAGTTTGGAAACACTCTTTTTGTGGAAACTGTAAGTGGATATTTGGATAGCTCTAATGATTTCGTTGGAAACGGGAATATCATCATCTAAAATCTAGACAGAAGCCCTCTCAGAAACTACTTTGTGATATCTGCATTCAAGTCACAGAGTTGAACATTCGCTTTCTTAGAGCACGTTTGAAACCCTCTTTTTGTAGTGTCTGGAAGTGGACATTTGGAGCGCTTTGATGCCTTTGGTGAAAAAGGGAATGTCTTCCCATAAAAACTAGACAGAAGCATTCTCAGAAACTTGTTTGTGATGTGTGTACCCAGCCAAAGGAGTTGAACATTTCTATTGATAGAGCAGTTTTGAAACACTCTTGTTGTGGAAAATGCAGGTGGATATTTGGATAGCTTGGAGGATTTCGTTGGAAGCGGGAATTCAAATAAAAGTTAGACAGCAGCATTCTCAGAAATTTCTTTCTGATGTCTGCATTCAACTCATAGAGTTGAAGATTCCCTTTCATAGAGTAGGTTTGAAACACTCTTTCTGGAGTATCTGGATGTGGACATTTGGAGCGCTTTGATGCCTACGGTGAAAAAGTAAATATCTTCCCATAAAAACGAGACAGAAGGATTCTCAGAAACAAGTTTGTGATGTGTGTACTCAGCTAACAGAGTGGAACCTTTCTTTTTACAGAGCAGCTTTGAAACTCTATTGTTGTGGATTCTGCAAATTGATATTTAGATTGCTTTAACGATATCGTTGGAAAAGGGAATACCGTCATACAAAATCTAGACAGAAGCATTCTCACAAACTTCTTTGTGATGTGTGTCCTCAACTAACAGAGTTGAACCTTTCTTTTGATGCAGCAATTTGGAAACACCCTTTTAGTAGAAACTGTAACTGGATATTTGGATAGCTCTAGCGATTTCGTTGGAAACGGGAATATCATCATCTAAAATCTAGACAGAAGCACTATTAGAAACTACTTGGTGATATCTGCATTCAAGTCACAGAGTTGAACATTCCCTTACTTTGAGCACGTTTGAAACACTCTTTTGGAAGAATCTGGAAGTGGACATTTGGAGCGCTTTGATGCCTTTGGTGAAAAGGAAACGTCTTCCAATAAAAGCCAGAGAGAAGCATTCTCAGAAACTTGTTCGTGATGTGTGTACTCAACTAAAAGAGTTGAACCTTTCTTTTGATAGCGCAGTTTTGAAACACTCTTTTTGTGGATTCTGCAAGTGGATATTTGGATTGCTTTGAGGATTTCGTTGGAAGCGGGAATTCGTATAAACACTAGACAGCCAGCATTCCCAGAAATTTCTTTCGGATATTTCCATTCAACTTATAGAGATGAACATCGCCTTTCATAGAGCAGGTTTGAAACACTCTTTTTGTAGTTTGTGGAAGTGGACATTTCGATCGCCTTGATGCCTACGGTGAAAAAGGAAATATCTTCCCATAAAAAATAGACAGAGCATTCTCAGAAACTTGTTGGTGATATGTGTCCTCAACTAACAGAGTGGATCTTTGCCATTGATAGAGAGCAGTTTTGAAACACTCTTTTTGTGGAATCTGCAAGTGGATATTTGGATAGCTTGGAGGATTTCGTTGGAAGCGGGAATTCAAATAAAAGGTAGACAGCAGCATTCTCAGAAATTTCTTTCTGATGTCTGCATTCAACTCATAGAGTTGAAGATTCCCTTTCATAGAGCAGGTTTGAAACACTCTTTCTGGAGTATCTGGATGTGGACATTTGGAGCGCTTTGATGCCTACGGTGAGAAAGTAAATATCTTCCCATAAAAACGAGACAGAAGGATTCTGAGAAACAAGTTTGTGATGTGTGTACTCAGCTAACAGAGTGGAACCTCTCTTTTGATGCAGCAGTTTGGAAACACTCTTTTTGTAGAAACTGTAAGTGGATATTTGGATAGCTCTAATGATTTCGTTGGAAACGGGAATATCATCATCTAAAATCTAGACAGAAGCCCTCTCAGAAACTACTTTGTGATATCTGCATTCAAGTCACAGAGTTGAACATTCGCTTTCTTAGAGCACGTTGGAAACAATCTTTTTGTAGTGTCTGGAAGTGGACATTTGGAGCGCTTTGATGCCTTTGGTGAAAAAGGGAACGTCTTCCCATAAAAACTAGACAGAAGCATTCTCAGAAACTTGTTTGTGATGTGTGTACCCAGCTAAAGGAGTTGAACATTTCTATTGATAGAGCAGTTTTGAAACACTCTTTTTGTGGAATCTGCAAGTGGATATTTGGATAGCTTGGAGGATTTCGTTGGAAGCGGGAATTCAAATAAAAGGTAGACAGCAGCATTTTCAGAAATTTCTTTCTGATGTCTGCATTCAACTCATAGAGTTGAAGATTCCCTTTCATAGAGCAGGTTTGAAACACTCGTTCTGGAGTATCTGGATGTGGACATTTGGAGCGCTTTGATGCCTACGGTGGAAAAGTAAATATCTTCCCATAAAAACGAGACAGAAGGATTCTGAGAAACAAGTTTGTGATGTGTGTACTCAGCTAACAGAGTGGAACCTTTCTTTTTACAGAGCAGCTTTGAAACTCTATTTTTGTGGATTCTGCAAATTGATATTTAGATTGCTTTAACGATATCGTTGGAAAAGGGAATATCGTCATACAAAATCTAGACAGAAGCATTCTCACAAACTTCTTTGTGATGTGTGTCCTCAACTAACAGAGTTGAACCTATCTTTTGATGCAGCAATTTGGAAACACCCTTTTGGTAGAAACTGTAACTGGATATTTGCTTAGCTCTAACGATTTCGTTGGAAACGGGAATATCATCATCTGAAATCTAGACAGAAGCACTATTAGAAACTACTTGGTGATATCTGCATTCAAGTCACAGAGTTGAACATTCCCTTACTTTGAGCACGTTTGAAACACTCTTTTGGAAGAATCTGGAAGTGGACATTTGGAGCGCTTTGATGCCTTTGGTGAAAAGGAAACGTCTTCCAATAAAAGCCAGACAGAAGCATTCTCAGAAACTTGTTTGTGATGTGTGTACTCAACTAAAAGAGTTGAACCTTTCTATTGATAGAGCAGTTTTGAAACACTCTTTTTGTGGATTCTGCAAGTGGATATTTGGATTGCTTTGAGGATTTCGTTGGAAGCGGGAATTCGTATAAAAACTAGACAGCAGCATTCCCAGAAATTTCTTTCGGATATTTCCATTCAACTCATAGAGATGAACATTGCCTTTCATAGAGCAGGTTTGAAACACTCTTTTTGTAGTTTGTGGAAGTGGACATTTCGATCGCCTTGACGCCTACGGTGAAAAAGGAAATATCTTCCCATAAAAAATAGACAGATAAGCATTCTCAGAAACTTGTTGGTGATATGTGTCCTCAACTAACAGCAGTTGAACTTTGCCATTGATAGAGAGCAGTTTGGAAACACTCTTTTTGTGGAATCTGCAAGTGGATATTTGGATAGCTTGGAGGATTTCGTTGGAAGCGGGAATTCAAATAAAAGGTAGACAGCAGCATTCTCAGAAATTTCTTTCTGATGTCTGCATTCAACTCATAGAGTTGAAGATTCCCTTTCATAGAGCAGGTTTGAAACACTCTTTCTGGAGTATCTGGATGTGGACATTTGGAGCGCTTTGATGCCTACGGTGAAAAAGTAAATATCTTCCCAGAAAAACGAGACAGAAGGATTCTGAGAAACAAGTTTGTGATGTGTGTACTCAGCTAACAGAGTGGAACCTCTCTTTTGATGCAGCAGTTTGGAAACACTCTTTTTGTAGAAACTGTAAGTGGATATTTGGATAGCTCTAATGATTTCGTTGGAAACGGGAATATCATCATCTAAAATCTAGACAGAAGCCCTCTCAGAAACTACTTTGTGATATCTGCATTCAAGTCACAGAGTTGAACATTTGCTTTCTTAGAGCACGTTTGAAACACCCTTTTTGTAGTGTCTGGAAGTGGACATTTGGAGCGCTTTGATGCCTTTGGTGAAAAAGGGAACGTCTTCCCATAAAAACTAGACAGAAGCATTCTCAGAAACTTGTTTGTGATGTGTGTACCCAGCCAAAGGAGTTGAACATTTCTATTGATAGAGCAGTTTTGAAACACTCTTGTTGTGGAAAATGCAGGAGGATATTTGGATAGCTTGGAGGATTTCGTTGGAAGCGGGAATTCAAATAAAAGGTAGACAGCAGCATTCTCACAAACTTCTTTGTGATGTGTGTCCTCAACTAACAGAGTTGAACCTTTCTTTTGATGCAGCAGTTTGGAAACACTCTTTTTGTAGAAACTGTAAGTGGATATTTGGATAGCTCTAATGATTTCGTTGGAAGCGGGAATATCATCATCTAAAATCTAGACAGAAGCCCTCTCAGAAACTACTTGGTGATATCTGCATTCAAGTCACAGAGTTGAACATTCGCTTTCTTAGAGCACGTTTGAAACACTCTTTTTGTAGTGTCTGGAAGTGGACATTTGGAGCGCTTTGATGCCTTTGGTGAAAAAGGGAATGTCTTCCCATAAAAACTAGACAGAAGCATTCTCAGAAACTTGTTTGTGATGTGTGTACCCAGACAAAGGAGTTGAACATTTCTATTGATAGAGCAGTTTTGAAACACTTTTTTTGTGCAAAATGCAGGTGGATATTTGGATAGCTTGGAGGATTTCGTTGGAAGCGGGAATTCAAATAAAAGGTAGACAGCAGCATTCTCAGAAATTTCTTTCTGATTCTGCATTCAACTCATAGAGTTGAAGATTCCCTTTCATAGAGCAGGTTTGAAACACTCGTTCTGGAGTATCTGGATGTGGACATTTGGAGCGCTTTGATGCCTATGGTGGAAAAGTAAATATCTTCCCATAGAAACGAGACAGAAGGATTCTGAGAAACAAGTTTGAGATGTGTGTACTCAGCTAACAGAGTGGAACCTTTCTTTTTACAGAGCAGCTTTGAAACTCTATTTTTGTGGATTCTGCAAATTGATATTTAGATTGCTTTAACGATATCGTTGGAAAAGGGAATATCGTCATACAAAATCTGGACAGAAGCATTCTCACAAACTTCTTTGTGATGTGTGTCCTCAACTAACAGAGTTGAACCTTTCTTTTGATGCAGCAGTTTGGAAACACCCTTTTGGTAGAAACTGTAAGTGGATATTTGGATAGCTCTAACGAATTCGTTGGAAACGGGAATATCATCATCTAAAATCTAGACAGAAGCACTATTAGAAACTACTTGGTGACATCTGCATTCAAGTCACAGAGTTGAACATTCCCTTACTTCGAGCACGTTTGAAACACTCTTTTGGAAGAATCTGGAAGTGGACATTTGGAGCGCTTTGATGCCTTTGGTGAAAAGGAAACGTCTTCCAATAAAAGCCAGACAGAAGCATTCTCAGAAACTTGTTTGTGATGTGTGTACTCAACTAAAAGAGTTGAACCTTTCTATTGATAGAGCAGTTTTGAAACACTCTTTTTGTGGATTCTGCAAGTGGATATTTGGATTGCTTTGAGGATTTCATTGGAAGCGGGAATTCGTATAAACACTAGACAGCAGCATTCCCAGAAATTTCTTTCGGATATTTCCATTCAACTCATAGAGATGAACATGGCCTTTCATAGAGCAGGTTTGAAACACTCTTTTTGTAGTTTGTGGAAGTGGACATTTCGATCGCCTTGACGCCTACGCTGAAAAAGGAAATATCTTCCCATAAAAAATAGACAGAAGCATTCTCAGAAACTTGTTGGTGATATGTGTCCTCAACTAACAGAGTTGAACTTTGCCATTGATAGAGAGCAGTTTTGAAACACTCTTTTTGTGGAATCTGCAAGTGGATATTTGGATAGCTTGGAGGATTTCGTTGGAAGCGGGAATTCAAATAAAAGGTAGACAGCAGCATTCTCAGAAATTTCTTTCTGATGTCTGCATTCAACTCATAGAGTTGAAGATTCCCTTTCATAGAGCAGGTTTGAAATACTCTTTCTGGAGTATCTGGATGTGGACATTTGGAGCGATTTGAGGCCTACGATGAAAAAGTAAATATCTTCCCATAAAAACGAGACAGAAGGATTCTGAGAAACAAGTTTGTGATGTGTGTACTCAGCTAACAGAGTGGAACCTCTCTTTGGATGCAGCAGTTTGGAAACACTCTTTTTGTAGAAACTGTATGTGGATATTTGGATAGCTCTAATGATTTCGTTGGAAACGGGAATATCATCATCTAAAATCTAGACAGAAGCCCTCTCAGAAACTACTTTGTGATATCTGCATTCAAGTCACAGAGTTGAACATTCGCTTTCTTAGAGCACGTTTGAAACACTCTTTTTGTAGTGTCTGGAAGTGGACATTTGGAGCGCTTTGATGCCTTTGGTGAAAAAGGGAACGTCTTCCCATAAAAACTAGACAGAAGCATTCTCAGAAACTTGTTTGTGATGTGTGTACCCAGCCAAAGGAGTTGAACATTTCTATTGCTAGAGCAGTTTTGAAACACTCTTTTTGTGGAAAATGCAGGTGGATATTTGGATAGCTTGGAGGATTTCGTTGGAAGCGGGAATTCAAATAAAAGGTAGACAGCAGCATTCTCAGAAATTTCTTTCTGATGTCTGCATTCAACTCATAGAGTTGAAGATTCCCTTTCATAGAGCAGGTTTGAAACAGTCTTTCTGGAGTATCTGGATGTGGACATTTGGAGTGCTTTGATGCCTACGGTGAAAAAGTAAATATCTTCCCATAAAAACGAGACAGAAGGATTCTCAGAAACAAGTTTGTGATGTGTGTACTCAGCTAACAGAGTGGAACCTTTCTTTTTACAGAGCAGCTTTGAAACTCTATTTTTGTGGATTCTGCAAATTGATATTTAGATTGCTTTAACGATATCGTTGGAAAAGGGAATATCGTCATACAAAATCCAGACAGAAGAATTCTCACAAACTTCTTTGTGATGTGTGTCCTCAACTAACAGAGTTGAACGTTTCTTTTGATGCAGCAGTTTGGAAACACTCTTTTTGTAGAAACTGTAAGTGGATATTTGGATAGCTCTAACGATTTCGTTGGAAACGGGAATATCATCATCTAAAATCTAGACAGAAGCACTATTAGAAACTACTTGGTGATATCTGCATTCAAGTCACAGAGTTGAACATTCCCTTACTTTGAGCACGTTTCAAACACTCTTTTGGAAGAATCTGGAAGTGGACATTTGGAGCGCTTTGATGCCTTTGGTGAAAAGGAAACGTCTTCCAATAAAAGCCAGACAGAAGCATTCTCAGAAACTTGTTTGTGATGTGTGTACTCAACTAAAAGAGTTGAACCTTTCTATTGATAGAGCAGTTTTGAAACACTCTTTTTGTGGATTCTGCAAGTGGATATTTGGATTGCTTTGAGGATTTCGTTGGAAGCGGGAATTCGTATAAAAACTAGACAGCAGCATTCCCAGAAATTTCTTTTGGATATTTCCATTCGACTCATAGAGATGAACATGGCCTTTCATAGAGCAGGTTTGAAACACTCTTTTTGTAGTTTGTGGAAGTGGACATTTCGATCGCCTTGACGCCTACGGTGAAAAAGGAAATATCTTCCCATAAAAAATAGACAGAAGCATTCTCAGAAACTTGTTGGTGATATGTGTCCTCAACTAACAGAGTTGAACTTTGCCATTGATAGAGAGCAGTTTTGAAACACTCTTTTTGTGGAATCTGCAAGTGGATATTTGGATAGCTTGGAGGATTTCGTTGGAAGCGGGAATTCAAATAAAAGGTAGACAGCAGCATTCTCAGAAATTTCTTTCTGATGTCTGCATTCAACTCATAGAGTTGAGCATTCCCTTTCATAGAGCAGGTTTGAAACACTCGTTCTGGAGTATCTGGATGTGGACATTTGGAGCGCTTTGATGCCTACGGTGGAAAAGTAAATATCTTCCCATAAAAACGAGACAGAAGGATTCTGAGAAACAAGTTTGTGATGTGTGTACTCAGCTAACAGAGTGGAACCTCTCTTTTGATGCAGCAGTTTGGAAACACTCTTTTTGTAGAAACTGTAAGTGGATATTTGGATAGCTCTAATGATTTCGTTGGAAACGGGAATATCATCATCTAAAATCTAGACAGAAGCACTCTCAGAAACTACTTTGTGATATCTGCATTCAAGTCACAGAGTTGAACATTCGGTTTCTTAGAGCACGTTTGAAACACTCTTTTTGTAGTGTCTGGAAGTGGACATTTGGAGCGCTTTGATGCCTTTGGTGAAAAAGGGAATGTCTTCCCATAAAAACTAGACAGAAGCATTCTCAGAGACTTGTTTGTGATGTGTGTACCCAGCCAAAGGAGTTGAACATTTCTATTGATAGAGCAGTTTTGAAACACTCTTGTTGTGGAAAATGCAGGTGGATATTTGGATAGTTTGGAGGATTTCGTTGGAAGCGGGAATACAAATAAAAGGTAGACAGCAGCATTCTCAGAAATTTCTTTCTGATGTCTGCATTCAACTCATAGAGTTGAACATTCCCTTTCATAGAGCAGGTTTGAAACACTCTTTCTGGAGTATCTGGATGTGGACATTTGGAGCGCTTTGATGCCTACGGTGAAAAAGTAAATATCTTCCCAGAAAAACGAGACAGAAGGATTCTCAGAAACAAGTTTGTGATGTGTGTACTCAGCTAACAGAGTGGAACCTTTCTTTTTACAGAGCAGCTTTGAAACTCTATTTTTGTGGATTCTGCAAATTGATATTTAGATTGCTTTAACAATATCGTTGGAAAAGGGAATATCGTCATACAAAATCTAGACAGAAAGCATTCTCACAAACTTCTTTGTGATGTGTGTCCTCAACTAACAGAGTTGAACCTTTCTTTTGATGCAGCAGTTTGGAAACACTCTTTTTGTAGAAACTGTAAGTGGATATTTGGATAGCTCTAACGATTTCGTTGGAAACGGGAATATCATCATCTAAAATCTAGACAGAGCACTATTAGAACCTACTTTGTGATATCTGCATTCAAGTCAAAGAGTTGAACATTCCCTTACTTTGAGCACGTTTGAAACACTCTTTTGGAAGAATCTGGAAGTGGACATTTGGAGCGCTTTGATGCCTTTGGTGAAAATGAAACGTCTTCCAATAAAAGCCAGACAGAAGCATTCTCAGAAACTTGTTTGTGATGTGTGTACTCAACTAAAAGAGTTGAACCTTTCTATTGATAGAGCAGTTTTGAAACACTCTTTTTGTGGATTCTGCAAGTGGATATTTGGATTGCTTTGAGGATTTCGTTGGAAGCGGGAATTCGTATAAAAACTAGACAGCAGCATTCCCAGAAATTTCTTTCGGATATTTCCATTCAACTCATACAGATGAACATCGCCTTTCATAGAGCAGGTTTGAAACACTCTTTTTGTAGTTTGTGGAAGTGGACATTTCGATCGCCTTGACGCCTACGGTGAAAAAGGAAATATCTTCCCATAAAAAATAGACAGAAGCATTCTCAGAAACTTGTTGGTGATATGTGTCCTCAACTAACAGAGTTGAACTTTGCCATTGATAGAGAGCAGTTTTGAAACACTCTTTTTGTGGAATCTGCAAGTGGATATTTGGATAGCTTGGAGGATTTCGTTGGAAGCGGGAATTCAAATAAAAGGTAGACAGCAGCATTCTCAGAAATTTCTTTCTGATGTCTGCATTCAACTCATAGTAGTTGAAGATTCCCTTTCATAGAGCAGGTTTGAAACACTCGTTCTGGAGTATCTGGATGTGGACATTTGGAGCGCTTTGATGCCTACGGTGGAAAAGTAAATATCTTCCCATAAAAACGAGACAGAAGGATTCTGAGAAACAAGTTTGTGATGTGTGTACTCAGCTAACAGAGTGGAACCTCTCTTTTGATGCAGCAGTTTGGAAACACTCTTTTTGTAGAAACTGTAAGTGGATATTTGGATAGCTCTAATGATTTCGTTGGAAACGGGAATATCATCATCTAAAATCTAGACAGAAGCCCTCTCAGAAACTACTTTGTGATATCTGCATTCAAGTCACAGAGTTGAACATTAGCTTTCTTAGAGCACGTTGGAAACACTCTTTTTGTAGTGTCTGGAAGTGGACATTTGGAGCGCTTTGATTCCTTTGGTGAAAAAGGGAATGTCTACCCATAAAAACTAGACAGAAGCATTCTCAGAAACTTGTTTGTGATGTGTGTACCCAGCCAAAGGAGTTGAACATTTCTATTGATAGAGCAGGTTTGAAACACTCTTTTTGTGGAAAATGCAGGTGGATATTTGGATAGCTTGGAGGATTTCGTTGGAAGCGGGAATTCAAATAAAAGGTAGACAGCAGCATTCTCAGAAATTTCTTTCTGATGTCTGCATTCAACTCATAGAGTTGAAGATTCCCTTTCATAGAGCAGGTTTGAAACACTCTTTCTGGAGTATCTGGATGTGGACATTTGGAGCACTTTGATGCCTACGGTGAAAAAGGAAATATCTTCCCATAAAAACGAGACAGAAGGATTCTCAGAAACAAGTTTGTGATGTGTGTACTCAGCTAACAGAGTGGAACCTTTCTTTTTACAGAGCAGCTTTCAAACTCTATTTTTGTGGATTCTGCAAATTGATATTTAGATTGCTTTAACGATATCGTTGGAAAAGGGAATATCGTCATACAAAATCTGGACAGAAGCATTCTCACAAACTTCTTTGTGATGTGTGTCCTCAACTAACAGAGTTGAACCTTTCTTTTGATGCAGCAGTTTGGAAACACTCTTTTTGTAGAAAGTGTAAGTGGATATTTGGATAGCTCTAACGATTTCGTTGGAAACGGGAATATCATCATCTAAAATCTAGACAGAAGCACTATTAGAAACTACTTGGTGATATCTGCATTCAAGTCACAGAGTTGAACATTCCCTTACTTTGAGCACGTTTGAAACACTCTTTTGGAAGAATCTGGAAGTGGACATTTGGAGCGCTTTGATGCCTTTGGTGAAAAGGAAACGTCTTCCAATAAAAGCCAGACAGAAGCATTCTCAGAAACTTGTTCGTGATGTGTGTACTCAACTAAAAGAGTTGAACCTTTCTATTGATAGAGCAGTTTTGAAACACTCTTTTTGTGGATTCTGCAAGTGGATATTTGGATTGCTTTGAGGATTTCGTTGGAAGCGGGAATTCGTATAAACTACTAGACAGCAGCATTCCCAGAAATTTCTTTCGGATATTTCCATTCAACTCATAGAGATGAACATGGCCTTTCATAGAGCAGGTTTGAAACACTCTTTTTGTAGTTTATGGAAGTGGACATTTCGATCGCCTTGACGCCTACGGTGAAAAAGGAAATATCTTCCCATAAAAAATAGACAGAAGCATTCTCAGAAACTTGTTGGTGATATGTGTCCTCAACTAACAGAGTTGAACTTTGCCATTGATAGAGAGCAGTTTTGAAACACTCTTTTTGTGGAATCTGCAAGTGGATATTTGGATAGCTTGGAGGATTTCGTTGGAAGCGGGAATTCAAATAAAAGGTAGACAGCAGCATTCTCAGAAATTTCTTTCTGATGTCTGCATTCAACTCATAGAGTTGAAGATTACCTTTCATAGAGCAGGTTTGAAACACTCTTTCTGGAGTATCTGGATGTGGACATTTGGAGCGCTTTGATGCCTACGGTGAAAAAGTAAATATCTTCCCATAAAAACGAGACAGAAGGATTCTGAGAAACAAGTTTGTGATGTGTGTACTCGGCTAACAGAGTGGAACCTCTCTTTTGATGCAGCAGTTTGGAAACACTCTTTTTGTAGAAACTGTAAGTGGATATTTGGATAGCTCTAATGATTTCGTTGGAAACGGGAATATCATCATCTAAAATCTAGACAGAAGCACTCTCAGAAACTACTGTGTGATATCTGCATTCAAGTCACAGAGTTGAACATTCGCTTTCTTAGAGCACGTTTGAAACACTCTTTTTGTAGTGTCTGGAAGTGGACATTTGGAGCGCTTTGATTCCTTTGGTGAAAAAGGGAATGTCTACCCATAAAAACTAGACAGAAGCATCCTCAGAAACTTGTTTGTGATGTGTGTACCCAGCCAAAGGAGTTGAACATTTCTATTGATAGAGCAGTTTTGAAACACTCTTTTTGTGGAAAAGTGCAAGGTGGATATTTGGAGTAGCTTGGAGGATTTCGTTGGAAGCGGGAATTCAAATAAAAGGTAGACAGCAGCATTCTCAGAAATTTCTTTCTGATGTCTGCATTCAACTCATAGAGTTGAAGATTCCCTTTCATAGAGCAGGTTTGAAACACTCTTTCTGGAGTATCTGGATGTGGACATTTGGAGTGCTTTGATGCCCACGGTGAAAAAGTAAATATCTTCCCATAAAAACGAGACAGAAGGATTCTGAGAAACAAGTTTGTGATGTGTGTACTCAGCTAACAGAGTGGAACCTTTCTTTTTACAGAGCAGCTTTGAAACTCTATTTTTGTGGATTCTGCAAATTGATATTTAGATTGCTTTAACGATATCGTTGGAAAAGGGAATATCGTCATACAAAATCTAGACAGAAGCATTCTCACAAACTTCTTTGTGATGTGTGTCCTCAACTAACAGAGTTGAACCTTTCTTTTGATGCAGCAATTTGGAAACACCCTTTTGGTAGAAACTGTAACTGGATATTTGGATAGCTCTAACGATTTCGTTTGAAACGGGAATATCATCATCTAAAATGTAGACAGAAGCACTATTAGAAACTACTTGGTGATATCTGCATTCAAGTCACAGAGTTGAACATTCCCTTACTTTGAGCACGTTTGAAACACTCTTTTGGAAGAATCTGGAAGTGGACATTTGGAGCGCTTTGATGCCTTTGGTGAAAAGGAAACGTCTTCCAATAAAAGCCAGAGAGAAGCATTCTCAGAAACTTGTTCGTGATGTGTGTACTCAACTAAAAGAGTTGAACCTTTCTATTGATAGAGCAGTTTTGAAACACTCTTTTTGTGTATTCTGCAAGTGGATATTTGGATTGCTTTGAGGATTTCGTTGGAAGCGGGAATTCGTATAAACACTAGACAGCAGCATTCCCAGAAATTTCTTTCGGATATTTCCATTCGACTCATAGAGATGAACATGGCCTTTCATAGAGCAGGTTTGAAACACTCTTTTTGTAGTTTGTGGAAGTGGACATTTCGATCGCCTTGACGCCTACGGTGAAAAAGGAAATATCTTCCCATAAAAAAAGACAGAAGCATTCTCAGAAACTTGTTGGTGATATGTGTCCTCAACTAACAGAGTTGAACTTTGCCATTGATAGAGAGCAGTTTTGAAACACTCTTTTTGTGGAATCTGCAAGTGGATATTTGGATAGCTTGGAGGATTTCGTTGGAAGCGGGAATTCAAATAAAAGGTAGACAGCAGCATTCTCAGAAATTTCTTTCTGATGTCTGCATTCAACTCATAGAGTTGAAGATTCCCTTTCATAGAGCAGGTTTGAAACACTCTTTCTGGAGTATCTGGATGTGGACATTTGGAGCGCTTTGATGCCTACGGTGAAAAAGTAAATATCTTCCCATAAAAACGAGTCAGAAGGATTCTCAGAAACAAGTTTGTGATGTGTGTACTCAGCTAACAGAGTGGAACCTCTCTTTTGATGCAGCAGTTTGGAAACACTCTTTTTGTAGAAACTGTAAGTGGATATTTGGATAGCTCTAATGATTTCGTTGGAAACGGGAATATCATCATCTAAAATCTAGAGAGAAGCCCTCTCAGAAACTACTTTGTGATATCTGCATTCAAGCCACAGAGTTGAACATTCGCTTTCTTAGAGCACGTTTGAAACACTCTTTTTGTAGTGTCTGGAAGTGGACATTTGGAGCTGCTTTGATGCCTTTGGTGAAAAAGGGAATGTCTTCCCATAAAAACTAGACAGAAAGCATTCTCAGAAACTTGTTTGTGATGTGTGTACCCAGCCAAAGGAGTTGAACATTTCTATTGATAGAGCAGTTTTGAAACACTCTTGTTGTGGAAAATGCAGGTGGATATTTGGATAGCTTGGAGGATTTCGTTGGAAGCGGGAATTCAAATAAAAGGTAGACAGAGCATTCTCAGAAATTTCTTTCTGATTCTGCATTCAACTCATAGAGTTGAAGATTCCCTTTCATAGAGCAGGTTTGAAACACTCGTTCTGGAGTATCTGGATGTGGACATTTGGAGCGCTTTGATGCCTACAGTGGAAAAGTAAATATCTTCCCATAAAAACGAGACAGAAGGATTCTCAGAAACAAGTTTGGGATGTGTGTACTCAGCTAACAGAGTGGAACCTTTCTTTTTACAGAGCAGCTTTGAAACTCTGTTTTTGTGGATTCTGCAAATTGATATTTAGATTGCTTTAACGATATCGTTGGAAAAGGGAATATCGTCATACAAAATCTAGACAGGAAAGCATTCTCACAAACTTCTTTGTGATGTGTGTCCTCAACTAACAGAGTTGAACCTTTCTTTTGATGCAGCAATTTGGAAACACCCTTTTGGTAGAAACTGTAACTGGATATTTGGATAGCTCTAACGATTTCGTTGGAAACGGGAATATCATCATCTAAAATGTAGACAGAAGCACTATTAGAAACTACTTGGTGATATCTGCATTCAAGTCACAGAGTTGAACATTCCCTTACTTTGAGCACGTTTGAAACACTCTTTTGGAAGAATCTGGAAGTGGACATTTGGAGCGCTTTGATGCATTTGGTGAAAAGGAAACGTCTTCCAATAAAAGCCAGACAGAAGCATTCTCAGAAACTTGTTCGTGATGTGTGTACTCAACTAAAAGAGTTGAACCTTTCTATTGATAGAGCAGTTTTGAAACACTCTTTTTGTGGATTCTGCAAGTGGATATTTGGATTGCTTTGAGGATTTCGTTGGAAGCGGGAATTCGTATAAAAACTAGACAGCAGCATTCCCAGAAATTTCTTTCGGATATTTCCATTCAACTCATAGAGATGAACATGGCCTTTTATAGAGCAGGTTTGAAACACTCTTTTTGTAGTTTGTGGAAGTGGACATTTCGATCGCCTTGACGCCTACGGTGAAAAAGGAAATATCTTCCCATAAAAAATAGACAGAAGCATTCTCAGAAACTTGTTGGTGATATGTGTCCTCAACTAACAGAGTTGAACTTTGCCATTGATAGAGAGCAGTTTTGAAACACTCTTTTTCCTGAATCTGCAAGTGGATATTTGGATAGTTTGGAGGATTTCGTTGGAAGCGGGAATTCAAATAAAAGGTAGACAGCAGCATTCTCAGAAATTTCTTTCTGATGTCTGCATTCAACTCATAGAGTTGAAGATTCCCTTTCATAGAGCAGGTTTGAAACACTCTTTCTGGAGTATCTGGATGTGGACATTTGGAGCGCTTGGATGCCTACGGTTAAAAAGTAAATATCTTCACATAAAAACGACACAGAAGGATTCTGAGAAACAAGTTTGTGATGTGTGTACTCAGCTAACAGAGTGGAACCTCTCTTTTGATGCAGCAGTTTGGAAACACTCTTTTTCTAGAAACTGTAAGTGGATATTTGGATAGCTGTAATGATTTCGTTGGAAACGGGAATATCATCATCTAAAATCTAGACAGAAGCCCTCTCAGAAACTACTTTGTGATATCTGCATTCAAGTCACAGAGTTGAACATTCGCTTTCTTAGAGCACGTTTGAAACACTCTTTTTGTAGTGTCTGGAAGTGGACATTTGGATCGCTTTGATGGCTTTGGTGAAAAAGGGAATGTCTTCCCATAAAAACTAGACAGAAGCATTCTCAGAAACTTGTTTGTGATGTGTGTACCCAGCTAAAGGAGTTGAACGTTTCTATTGATAGAGCAGTTTTGAAACACTCTTTTTGTGGAAAATGCAAGTGGATATTTGGATAGCTTGGAGGATTTCGTTGTAAGCGGGAATTCAAATAAAAGGTAGACAGCAGCATTCTCAGAAGTTTCTTTCTGATGTCTGCATTCAACTCATAGAGTTGAAGATTCCCTTTCATAGAGCAGGTTTGAAACACTCTTTCTGGAGTATCTGGATGTGGACATTTGGAGCGCTTTGATGCCTACGGTGAAAAAGTAAATATCTTCCCATAAAAACGAGACAGAAGGATTCTCAGAAACAAGTTTGTGATGTGTGTACTCAGCTAACAGAGTGGAACCTTTCTTTTTACAGAGCAGCTTTGAAACTCTATTTTTGTGGATTCTGCAAATTGATATTTAGATTGCTTTAACGATATCGTTGGAAAAGGGAATATCGTCATACAAAATATAGACAGAAGCATTCTCACAAACTTCTTTGTGATGTGTGTCCTCAACTAACAGAGTTGAACCTTTCTTTTGATGCAGCAATTTGGAAACACCCTTTTGGTAGAAACTGTAACTGGATATTTGGATAGCTCTAGCGATTTCGTTGGAAACGGGAATATCATCATCTAAAATGTAGACAGAAGCACTATTAGAAACTACTTGGTGATATCTGCATTCAAGTCACAGAGTTGAACATTCCCTTACTTTGAGCACGTTTGAAACACTCTTTTGGAAGAATCTGGAAGTGGACATTTGGAGCGCTTTGATGCCTTTGGTGAAAAGGAAACGTCTTCCAATAAAAGCCAGACAGAAAGCATTCTCAGGAAACTTGTTTGTGATGTGTGTACTCAACTAAAAGAGTTGAACCTTTCTATTGATAGAGCAGTTTTGAAACACTCTTTTTGTGGATTCTGCAAGTGGATATTTGGATTGCTTTGAGGATTTCGTTGGAAGCGGGAATTCATATAAAAACTAGACAGCAGCATTCCCAGAAATTTCTTTCGGATATTTCCATTCAACTCATAGAGATGAACATGGCCTTTCATAGAGCAGGTTTGAAACACTCTTTTTGTAGTTTGTGGAAGTGGACATTTCGATCGCCTTGGCGCCTACGCTGAAAAAGGAAATATCTTCCCATAAAAAATAGACAGAAGCATTCTCAGAAACTTGTTGGTGATATGTGTCCTCAACTAACAGAGTTGAACTTTGCCATTGATAGAGAGCAGTTTTGAAACACTCTTTTTGTGGAATCTGCAAGTGGATATTTGGATAGCTTGGAGGATTTCGTTGGAAGCGGGAATTCAAATAAAAGGTAGACAGCAGGATTCTGAGAAACAAGTTTGTGATGTGTGTACTCAGCTAACAGAGTGCAACCTTTCTTTTTACAGAGCAGCTTTGAAACTCTATTTTTGTGGATTCTGCAAATGGATATTTAGATTGCTTTAACGATATCGTTGGAAAAGGGAATATCGTCATACAAAATCTAGACAGAAGCATTCTCACAAACTTCTTTGTGATGTGTGTCCTCAACTAACAGAGTTGAACCTTTCTTTTGATGCAGCAGTTTGGAAACACTCTTTTTGTAGCAACTGTAAGTGGATATTTGGATAGCTCTAACGATTTCGTTGGAAACGGGAATATCATCATCTAAAATACTAGACAGAAGCACTATTAGAAACTACTTGGTGATATCTGTATTCAAGTCACAGTAGTTGAACATTCCCTTACTTTGAGCACGTTTGAAACACTCTTTTGGAAGAATCTGGAAGTGGACATTTGGAGCGCTTTGATGCCTTTGGTGAAAAGGAAACGTCTTCCAATAAAAGCCAGAGAGAAGCATTCTCAGAAACTTGTTTGTGATGTGTGTACTCAACTAAAAGAGTTGAACCTTTCTATTGATAGAGCAGTTTAGAAACACTCTTTTTGTGGATTCTGCAAGTGGATATTTGGATTGCTTTGAGGATTTCGTTGGAAGCGGGAATTCGTATAAACACTAGACAGCAGCATTCCCAGAAATTTCTTTCGGATATTTCCATTCAACTCATAGAGATGAACATGGCCTTTCATAGAGCAGGTTTGAAACACTCTTTTTGTAGTTTGTGGAAGTGGACATTTCGATCGCCTTGACGCCTACGGTGAAAAAGGAAATATCTTCCCATAAAAAATAGACAGAAGCATTCTCAGAAACTTGTTGGTGATATGTGTCCTCAACTAACAGAGTTGAACTTTGCCATTGATAGAGAGCAGTTTTGAAACACTCTTTTTGTGGAATATGCAAGTGGATATTTGGATAGCTTGGAGGATTTCGTTGGAAGCGGGAATTCAAATAAAAGGTAGACAGCAGCATTCTCAGTAAATTTCTTTCTGATGTCTGCATTCAACTCATAGCAGTTGAAGATTCCCTTTCATAGAGCAGGTTTGAAACACTCGTTCTGGAGTATCTGGATGTGGACATTTGGAGCGCTTTGATGCCTACGGTGGAAAAGTAAATATCTTCCCATAAAAACGAGACAGAAGGATTCTGAGAAACAAGTTTGTGATGTGTGTACTCAGCTAACAGAGTGGAACCTCTCTTTTGATGCAGCAGTTTGGAAACACTCTTTTTGTAGAAACTGTAAGTGGATATTTGGATAGCTCTAATGATTTCGTTGGAAACGGGAATATCATCATCTAAAATCTAGACAGAAGCCCTCTCAGAAACTACTTTGTGATATCTGCATTCAAGTCACAGAGTTGAACATTCGCTTTCTTAGGGCACGTTGGAAACACTCTTTTTGTAGTGTCTGGAAGTGGACATTTGGAGCGCTTTGATGCCTTTGGTGAAAAAGGGAACGTCTTCCCATAAAAACTAGACAGAAGCATTCTCAGAAACTTGTTTGTGATGTGTGTACCCAGCCAAAGGAGTTGAACGTTTCTATTGATACAGCAGTTTTGAAACACTCTTGTTGTGGAAAATGCAGGTGGATATTTGGATAGCTTGGAGGATTTCGTTGGAAGCGGGAATTCAAATAAAAGGTAGACAGCAGGATTCTCAGAAACAAGTTTGTGATGTGTGTACTCAGCTAACAGAGTGGAACCTTTCTTTTTACAGAGCAGCTTTGAAACTCTATTTTTGTGGATTCTGCAAATTGATATTTAGATTGCTTTAACGATATCGTTGGAAAAGGGAATACGGTCATACAAAATCTAGACAGAAGCATTCTCACAAACTTCTTTGTGATGTGTGTCCTCAACTAACAGAGTTGAACTTTTCTTTTGATGCAGCAATTTGGAAACACCCTTTTGGTAGAAACTGTAACTGGATATTTGGATAGCTCTAGCGATTTCGTTGGAAACGGGAATATCATCATCTAAAATGTAGACAGAAGCACTATTAGAAACTACTTGGTGATATCTGCATTCAAGTCACAGAGTAGAACATTCCCTTACTTCGAGCACGTTTGAAACACTCTTTTGGAAGAATCTGGAAGTGGACATTTGGAGCGCTTTGATGCCTTTGGTGAAAAGGAAACGTCTTCCAATAAAAGCCAGACAGAAGCATTCTGAGAAACTTGTTCGTGATGTGTGTACTCAACTAAAAGAGTTGAACCTTTCTATTGATATAGCAGTTTTGAAACACTCTTTTTGTGGATTCTGCAAGTGGATATTTGGATTGCTTTGAGGATTTCGTTGGAAGCAGGAATTCATATAAACACTAGACAGCAGCATTCCCAGAAATTTCTTTCGGATATTTCCATTCAACTCATAGAGATGAACATGGCCTTTCATAGAGCAGGTTTGAAACACTCTTTTTGTAGTTTGTGGAAGTGGACATTTCGATCGCCTTGACGCCTACGGTGAAAAAGGAAATATCTTCCCATAAAAAATAGACAGAAGCATTCTCAGAAACTTGTTGGTGATATGTGTCCTCAACTAACAGAGTTGAACTTTGCCATTGATAGAGAGCAGTTTTGAAACACTCTTTTTGTGGAATCTGCAAGTGGATATTTGGATAGCTGGAGGATTTCGTTGGAAGCGGGAATTCAAATAAAAGGTAGACAGCCAGCATTCTCAGAATTTCTTTCTGATGTCTGCATTCAACTCATAGAGTTGAAGATTCCCTTTCATAGAGCAGGTTTGAAACACTCTTTCTGGAGTATCTGGATGTGGACATTTGGAGCGCTTTGATGCCTACGGTGAAAAAGTAAATATCTTCCCATAAAAACGAGACAGAGGATTCTGAGAAACTAGTTTGTGATGTGTGTACTCAGCTAACAGAGTGGAACCTCTGTTTTGATGCAGCAGTTTGGAAACACTCTTTTTGTAGAAACTGTAAGTGGATATTTGGATAGCTCTAATGATTTCGTTGGAAACGGGAATATCATCATCTAAAATACTAGACAGAAGCCCTCTCAGAAACTACTTTGTGATATCTGCATTCAAGTCACAGAGTTGAACATGCGCTTTCTTAGAGCACGTTTGAAACACTCTTTTTGTAGTGTCTGGAAGTGGACATTTGGAGCGCTTTGATGCCTTTGGTGAAAAAGGGAACGTCTTCCCATAAAAACTAGACAGAAGCATTCTCAGAAACTTGTTTGTGATGTGTGTACCCAGCCAAAGGAGTTGAACATTTCTATTGATAGAGCAGTTTTGAAACACTCTTTTTGTGGAAAATGCAGGTGGATATTTGGATACCTTGGAGGATTTCGTTGGAAGCGGGAATTCAAATAAAAGGTAGACAGCAGGATTCTCAGAAACAAGATTGTGATGTGTGTACTCAGCTAACAGAGTGGAACCTTTCTTTTTACAGAGCAGCTTTGAAACTCTATTTTTGTGGATTCTGCAAATTGATATTTAGATTGCTTTAACGATATCGATGGAAAAGGGAATATCATCATACAAAATCTAGACAGAAGCATTCTCACAAACTTCTTTGTGATGTGTGTCCTCAACTAACAGAGTTGAACCTTTCTTTTGATGCAGCAGTTTGGAAACACTCTTTTTGTAGAAACTGTAAGTGGATATTTGGATAGCTCTAACGATTTCATTGGAAACGGGAATATCATCATCTAAAATGTAGACAGAAGCACTATTAGAAACTACTTGGTGATATCTGCATTCAAGTCACAGAGTTGAACATTCCCTTACTTTGAGCACGTTTGAAACACTCTTTTGGAAGAATCTGGAAGTGGACATTTGGAGCGCTTTGATGCCTTTGGTGAAAAGGAAACGTCTTCCAATAAAAGCCAGACAGAAGCATTCTCAGAAACTTGTTTGTGATGAGTGTACTCAACTAAAAGAGTTGAACCTTTCTATTGATAGAGCAGTTTTGAAACACTCTTTTTGTGGATTCTGCAAGTGGATATTTGGATTGCTTTGAGGATTTCGTTGGAAGCGGGAATTCGTATAAACACTAGACAGCAGCATTCCCAGAAATTTCTTTCGGATATTTCCATTCAACTCATAAAGATGAACATGGCCTTTCATAGAGCAGGTTTGAAACACTCTTTTTGTAGTTTGTGGAAGTGGACATTTCGATCGCCTTGACGCCTACGGTGAAAAAGGAAATATCTTCCCATAAAAAATAGACAGAAGCATTCTCAGAAACTTGTTGGTGATATGTGTCCTCAACTAACAGAGTTGAACTTTGCCATTGATAGAGAGCAGTTTTGAAACACTCTTTTTGTGGAATCTGCAAGTGGATATTTGGATAGCTTGGAGGATTTCGTTGGAAGCGGGAATTCAAATAAAAGGTAGACAGCAGCATTCTCAGAAATTTCTTTCTGATGTCTGCATTCAACTCATAGAGTTGAAGATTCCCTTTCATAGAGCAGGTTTGAAACACTCTTTCTGGAGTATCTGGATGTGGATATTTGGAGCGCTTTGATGCCTACGGTGAGAAAGTAAATATCTTCCCATAAAAACGAGACAGAAGGATTCTGAGAAACAAGTTTGTGATGTGTGTACTCAGCTAACAGAGTGGAACCTCTCTTTTGATGCAGCAGTTTGGAAACACTCTTTTTGTAGAAACTGTAAGTGGATATTTGGATAGCTCTAATGATTTCGTTGGAAACGGGAATATCATCATCTAAAATCTAGACAGAAGCACTCTCAGAAACTACTTTGTGATATCTGCATTCAAGTCACAGAGTTGAACATTCGCTTTCTTAGAGCACGTTGGAAACACTCTTTTTGTAGTGTCTGGAAGTGGACATTTGGAGCGCTTTGATTCCTTTGGTGAAAAAGGGAATGTCTACCCATAAAAACTAGACAGAAGCATTCTCAGAAACTTGTTTGTGATGTGTGTACCCAGCCAAAGGAGTTGAACATTTCTATTGATAGAGCAGGTTTGAAACACTCTTTTTGTGGAAAATGCAGGTGGATATTTGGATAGCTTGGAGGATTTCGTTGGAAGCGGGAATTCAAATAAAAGGTAGACAGCAGCATTCTCAGAAATTTCTTTCTGATGTCTGCATTCAACTCATAGAGTTGAAGATTCCCTTTCATAGAGCAGGTTTGAAACACTCGTTCTGGAGTATATGGATGTGGACATTTGGAGCGCTTTGATGCCTACGGTGGAAAAGTAAATATCTTCCCATAAAAACGAGACAGAAGGATTCTCAGAAACAAGTTTGTGATGTGTGTACTCAGCTAACAGAGTGGAACCTTTCTTTTTACAGAGCAGCTTTGAAACTCTATTTTTGTGGATTCTGCAAATTGATATTTAGATTGCTTTAACGATATCGTTGGAAAAGGGAATATGGTCATACAAAATCTAGACAGAAGCATTCTCACAAACTTCTTTGTGATGTGTGTCCTCAACTAACAGAGTTGAACCTTTCTTTTGATGCAGCAATTTGGAAACACCCTTTTGGTAGAAACTGTAACTGGATATTTGGATAGCTCTAGCGATTTCGTTGGAAACGGGAATATCATCATCTAAAATGTAGACAGAAGCACTGTTAGAAACTACTTGGTGATATCTGCATTCAAGTCACAGAGTTGAACATTCCCTTACTTCGACCACGTTTGAAACACTCTTTTGGAAGAATCTGGAAGTGGACATTTGGAGCGCTTTGATGCCTTTGGTGAAAAGGAAACGTCTTCCAATAAAAGCCAGACAGAAAGCATTCTCAGAAACTTGTTCGTGATGTGTGTACTCAACTAAAAGTAGTTGAACCTTTCTATTGATAGAGCAGTTTTGAAACACTCTTTTTGTGGATTCTGCAAGTGGATATTTGGATTGCTTTGAGGATTTCGTTGGAAGCGGGAATTCGTATAAACACTAGACAGCAGCATTCCCAGAAATTTCTTTCGGATATTTCCATTCAACTCATAGAGATGAACATGGCCTTTCATAGAGCAGGTTTGAAACACTCTTTTTGTAGTTTGTGGAAGTGGACATTTCGATTGCCTTGACGCCTACGGTGAAAAAGGAAATATCTTCCCATAAAAAATAGACAGAAGCATTCTCAGAAACTTGTTGGTGATATGTGTCCTCAACTAACAGAGTTGAACTTTGCCATTGATAGAGAGCAGTTTTGAAACACTCTTTTTGTGGAATCTGCAAGTGGATATTTGGATAGCTTGGAGGATTTCGTTGGAAGCGGGAATTCAAATAAAAGGTAGACAGCAGCATTCTCAGAAATTTCTTTCTGATGTCTGCATTCAACTCATAGAGTTGAAGATTCCCTTTCATAGAGCAGGTTTGAAACACTCTTTCTGGAGTATCTGGATGTGGACATTTGGAGCGCTTTGATGCCTACGGTGAAAAAGTAAATATCTTCCCAAAAAAACGAGACAGAAGGATTCTGAGAAACAAGTTTGTGATGTGTGTACTCAGCTAACAGAGTGGAACCTCTCTTTTGATGCAGCAGTTTGGAAACACTCTTTTTGTAGAAACAGTAAGTGGATATTTGGATAGCTCTAATGATTTCGTTGGAAACGGGAATATCATCATCTAAAATCTAGACAGAAGCACTCTCAGAAACTACTTTGTGATATCTGCATTCAAGTCACAGAGTTGAACATTCGCTTTCTTAGAGCACGTTTGAAACACTCTTTTTGTAGTGTCTGGAAGTGGACATTTGGAGCGCTTTGATGCCTTTGGTGAAAAAGGGAATGTCTTCCCATAAAAACTAGACAGAAGCATTCTCAGAGTCTTGTTTGTGATGGGTGTACCCAGCCAAAGGAGTTGAACATTTCTATTGATAGAGCAGTTTTGAAACACTCTTGTTGTGGAAAATGCAGGTGGATATTTGGATAGCTTGGAGGATTTCGTTGGAAGCGGGAATTCAAATAAAAGGTAGACAGCAGGATTCTCAGAAACAAGTTTGTGATGTGTGTACTCAGCTAACAGAGTGGAACCTTTCTTTTTACAGAGCAGCTTTGAAACTCTATTTTTGTGGATTCTGCAAATGGATATTTAGATTGCTTTAACGATATCGTTGGAAAAGGGAATATCGTCATACAAAATCTGGACAGAAGCATTCTCACAAACAGCTTTGTGACGTGTGTCCTCAACTAACACAGTTGAACCTTTCTTTTGATGCAGCAGTTTGGAAACACCCTTTTGGTAGAAACTGTAAGTGGATATTTGGATAGCTCTAACGATTTCGTTGGAAACGGGAATATCATCATCTAAAATCTAGACAGAAGCACTATTAGAAACTACTTGGTGATATCTGCATTCAAGTCACAGAGTTGAACATTCCCTTACTTTGAGCACGTTTCAAACACTCTTTTGGAAGAATCTGGAAGTGGACATTTGGAGCGCTTTGATGCCTTTGGTGAAAAGGAAACGTCTTCCAATAAAAGCCAGACAGAAGCATTCTCAGAAACTTGTTTGTGATGTGTGTACTCAACTAAAAGAGTTGAACCTTTCTATTGATAGAGCAGTTTTGAAACACTCTTTTTGTGGATTCTGCAAGTGGATATTTGGATTGCTTTGAGGATTTCGTTGGAAGCGGGAATTCGTATAAAAACTAGACAGCAGCATTCCCAGAAATTTCTTTCGGATATTTCCATTCAACTCATAGAGATGAACATGGCCTTTCATAGAGCAGGTTTGAAACACTCTTTTTGTAGTTTGTGGAACTGGACATTTCGATCGCCTTGACGCCTACGGTGAAAAAGGAAATATCTTCCCATAAAAAATAGACAGAAGCATTCTCAGAAACTTGTTGGTGATATGTGTCCTCAACTAACAGAGTTGAACTTTGCCATTGATAGAGAGCAGTTTTGAAACACTCTTTTTGTGGAATCTGCAAGTGGATATTTGGATAGCTTGGAGGATTTCGTTGGAAGCGGGAATTCAAATAAAAGGTAGACAGCAGCATTCTCAGAAATTTCTTTCTGATGTCTGCATTCAACTCATAGAGTTGAAGATTCCCTTTCATAGAGCAGGTTTGAAACACTCTTTCTGGAGTATCTGGATGTGGACATTTGGAGCGCTTTGATACCTACGGTGTAAAAGTAAATATCTTCCCATAAAAACGAGACAGAAGGATTCTGAGAAACAAGTTTGTGATGTGTGTACTCAGCTAACAGAGTGGAACCTCTCTTTTGATGCAGCAGTTTGGAAACACTCTTTTTGTAGAAACTGTAAGTGGATATTTGGATAGCTCTAATGATTTCATTGGAAACGGGAATATCATCATCTAAAATCTAGACAGAAGCCCTCTCAGTAAACTACTTTGTGATATCTGCATTCAAGTCACAGAGTTGAACATTCGCTTTCTTAGAGCACGTTTGAAACACTCTTTTTGTAGTGTCTGGAAGTGGACATTTGGAGCGCTTTGATGCCTTTGGTGAAAAAGGGAACGTCTTCCCATAAAAACTAGACAGAAGCATTCTCAGCAAACTTGTTTGTGATGTGTGTACCCAGCCAAAGGAGTTGAACATTTCTATTGATAGAGCAGTTTTGAAACACTCTTGTTGTGGAAAATGCAGGTGGATATTTGGATAGCTTGGAGGATTTCGTTGGAAGCGGGAATTCAAATAAAAGGTAGACAGCAGCATTCTCAGAAATTTCTTTCTGATGTCTGCATTCAACTCATAGAGTTGAAGATTCCCTTTCATAGAGCAGGTTTGAAACACTCGTTCTGGAGTATCCGGATGTGGACATTTGGAGCGCTTTGATGCCTACGGTGGAAAAGTAAATATCTTCCCATAAAAACGAGACAGAAGGATTCTGAGAGACAAGTTTGTGATGTGTGTACTCAGCTAACAGAGTGGAACCTTTCTTTTTACAGAGCAGCTTTGAAACTCTATTTTTGTGGATTCTGCAAATGGATATTTAGATTGCTTTAACGATATCGTTGGGAAAAGGGAATATGGTCATACAAAATCTAGACAGAAGCATTCTCACAAACTTCTTTGTGATGTGTCTCCTCAACTGACAGAGTTGAACCTTTCTTTTGATGCAGCAGTTTGGAAACACTCTTTTTGTAGAAACTGTAAGTGGATATTTGGATAGCTCTAACGATTTCGTTGGAAACGGGAATATCATCATCTAAAATCTAGACAGAAGCACTATTAGAAACTACTTGGTGATATCTGCATTCAAGTCACAGAGTTGAACATTCCCTTACTTTGAGCACGTTTGAAACACTCTTTTGGAAGAATCTGGAAGTGGACATTTGGAGCGCTTTGATGCCTTTGGTGAAAAGGAAACGTCTTCCAATAAAAGCCAGACAGAAGCATTCTCAGAAACTTGTTTGTGATGTGTGTACTCAACTAAAAGAGTTGAACCTTTCTATTGATGGAGCAGTTTTGAAACACTCTTTTTGTGGATTCTGCAAGTGGATATGTGGATTGCTTTGAGGATTTCGTTGGAAGCGGGAATTCGTATAACAACTAGACAGCAGCATTCCCAGAAATTTCTTTCGGATATTTCCATTCAACTCATAGAGATGAACATGGCCTTTCATAGAGCAGGTTTGAAACACTCTTTTTGTAGTTTGTGGAAGTGGACATTTCGATCGCCTTGACGCCTACGCTGAAAAAGGAAATATCTTCCCATAAAAAATAGACAGAAGCATTCTCAGAAACTTGTTGGTGATATGTGTCCTCAACTAACAGAGTTGAACTTTGCCATTGATAGAGAGCAGTTTTGAAACACTCTTTTTCCTGAATCTGCAAGTGGATATTTGGATAGTTTGGAGGATTTCGTTGGAAGCGGGAATTCAAATAAAAGGTAGACAGCAGCATTCTCAGAAATTACTTTCTGATGTCTGCATTCAACTCATAGAGTTGAAGATTCCCTTTCATAGAGCAGGTTTGAAACACTCTTTCTGTACTATCTGGAAGTGGACATTGGGATCGCTTTGATGCCTACGGTGAAAAAGGAAATATCTTCCCATAAAAGCTAGACAGAAGGATTCTGAGAAACAAGTTTGTGATGTGTGTACTCAGCTAACAGAGTGGAACCTCTCTTTTGATGCAGCAGTTTGGAAACACTCTTTTTGTAGAAACTGTAAGTGGATATTTGGATAGCTCTAATGATTTCGTTGGAAACGGGAATATCATCATCTAAAATCTAGACAGAAGCCCTCTCAGAAACTACTTTGTGATATCTGCATTCAAGTCACAGAGTTGAATATTCGCTTTCTTAGAGCACGTTTGAAACACTCTTTTTGTAGTGTCTGGAAGTGGACATTTGGAGCGCTTTGATGCCTTTGGTGAAAAAGGGAATGTCTTCCCATAAAAACTAGACAGAAGCATTCTCAGAAACTTGTTTGTGATGTGTGTACCCAGCTAAAGGAGTTGAACATTTCTATTGATAGAGCAGTTTTGAAACACTCTTTTTGTGGAATCTGCAGGTGGATATTTGGATAGCTTGGAGGATTTCGTTGGAAGCGGGAATTCAAATAAAAGGTAGACAGCAGCATTCTCAGAAATTTCTTTCTGATGTCTGCATTCAACTCATAGAGTTGAAGATTCCCTTTCATAGAGCAGGTTTGAAACACTCTTTCTGGAGTATCTGGATGTGGACATTTGGAGCGCTTTGATGCCTACGGTGAAAAAGTAAATATCTTCCCATAAAAACGAGACAGAAGGATTCTGAGAGACAAGTTTGTGATGTGTGTACTCAGCTAACAGAGTGGAACCTTTCTTTTTACAGAGCAGCTTTGAAACTCTATTTTTGTGGATTCTGCAAATGGATATTTAGATTGCTTTAATGATATCGTTGGAAAAGGGAATATCGTCATACAAAATCTGGACAGAAGCATTCTCACAAACTTCTTTGTGATGTGTGTCCTCAACTAACAGAGTTGAACCTTTCTTTTGATGCAGCAATTTGGAAACACCCTTTTGGTAGAAACTGTAACTGGATATTTGGATAGCTCTAACGATTTCGTTGGAAACGGGAATATCCTCACCTAAAATCTAGACAGAAGCACTATTAGAAACTACTTGGTGATATCTGCATTCAAGTCACAGAGTTGAACATTCCCTTACTTTGAGCACGTTTCAAACACTCTTTTGGAAGAATCTGGAAGTGGACATTTGGAGCGCTTTGATGCCTTTGGTGAAAAGGAAACGTCTTCCAATAAAAGCCAGACAGATAAGCATTCTCAGCAAACTTGTTTGTGATGTGTGTACTCAACTAAAAGAGTTGAACCTTTCTATTGATAGAGCAGTTTTGAAACACTCTTTTTGTGGATTCTGCAAGTGGATATTTGGATTGCTTTGAGGATTTCGTTGGAAGCGGGAATTCATATAAAAACTAGACAGCAGCATTCCCAGAAATTTCTTTCGGATATTTCCATTCAACTCATAGAGATGAACATGGCCTTTCATAGAGCAGGTTTGAAACACTCTTTTTGTAGTTTGTGGAAGTGGACATTTCGATCGCCTTGACGCCTACGGTGAAAAAGGAAATATCTACCCATAAAAAATAGACAGAAGCATTCTCAGAAACTTGTTGGTGATATGTGTCCTCAACTAACAGAGTTGAACTTTGCCATTGATAGAGAGCAGTTTTGAAACACTCTTTTTGTGGAATCTGCAAGTGGATATTTGGATAGCTTGGAGGATTTCGTTGGAAGCGGGAATTCAAATAAAAGGTAGACAGCAGCATTCTCAGAAATTTCTTTCTGATGTCTGCATTCAACTCATAGAGTTGAAGATTCCCTTTCATAGAGCAGGTTTGAAACACTCGTTCAGAGTATCTGGATGTGGACATTTGGAGCGCTTTGATGCCTACGGTGAAAAAGTAAATATCTTCCCATAAAAACGAGACAGAAAGGATTCTGAGAAACAAGTTTGTGATGTGTGTACTCAGCTAACAGAGTGGAACCTCTCTTTTGATGCAGCAGTTTGGAAACACTCTTTTTGTAGAAACTGTAAGTGGATATTTGGATAGCTCTAATGATTTCTTTGGAAACGGGAATATCATCATCTAAAATCTAGACAGAAGCACTATTAGAAACTACTTTGTGATATCTGCATTCAAGTCACAGAGTTGAACATTCGCTTTCTTAGAGCACGTTGGAAACACTCTTTTTGTAGTGTCTGGAAGTGGACATTTGGAGCGCTTTGATGCCTTTGGTGAAAAAGGGAATGTCTTCCCATAAAAACTAGACAGAAGCATTCTCAGAAACTTGTTTGTGATGTGTCTACCCAGCTAAAGGAGTTGAACATTTCTATTGATAGAGCAGTTTTGAAACACTCTTTTTGTGGAAAATGCAGGTGGATATTTGGATAGCTTGGAGGATTTCGTGGGAAGCGGGAATTCAAATAAAAAGTAGACAGCAGCATTCTCAGAAATTTCTTTCTGATGTCTGCATTCAACTCATAGAGTTGAAGATTCCCTTTCATAGAGCAGGTTTGAAACAGTCTTTCTGGAATATCTGGATGTGGACATTTGGAGCGCTTTGATGCCTACGGTGAAAAAGTAAATATCTTCCCATAAAAACGAGACAGAAGGATTCTGAGAAACAAGTTTGTGATGTGTGTACTCAGCTAACAGAGTGGAACCTTTCTTTTTACAGAGCAGCTTTGAAACTCTATTTTTGTGGATTCTGCAAATTGATATTTAGATTGCTTTAACGATATCGTTGGAAAAGGGAATATCGTCATACAAAATCTAGACAGAAGCATTCTCACAAACTTCTTTGTGATGTGTGTCCTCAACTAACAGACTTGAACCTTTCTTTTGATGCAGCAGTTTGGAAACACCCTTTTGGTAGAAACTGTAAGTGGATATTTGGATAGCTCTAACGATTTCGTTGGAAACGGGAATATCATCATCTAAAATCTAGACAGAAGCACTATTAGAAACTACTTGGTGATATCTGCATTCAAGTCACAGAGTTGAACATTCCCTTACTTTGAGCACGTTTGAAACACTCTTTGGGAAGAATCTGGAAGTGGACATTTGGAGCGCTTTGATGCCTTTGGTGAAAAGGAAACGTCTTCCAATAAAAGCCAGACAGAAGCATTCTCAGAAACTTGTTTGTGATGTGTGTACTCAACTAAAGGAGTTGAACCTTTCTATTGATAGAGCAGTTTTGAAACACTCTTTTTGTGGATTCTGCAAGTGGATATTTGGATTGCTTTGAGGATTTCGTTGGAAGCGGGAATTCATATAAAAACTAGACAGCAGCATTCCCAGAAATTTCTTTCGGATATTTCCATTCAACTCATAGAGATGAACATGGCCTTTCATAGAGCAGGTTTGAAACACTCTTTTTGTAGTTTGTGGAAGTGGACATTTCGATCGCCTTGACGCCTACGGTGAAAAAGGAAATATCTTCCCATAAAAAATAGACAGAAGCATTCTCAGAAACTTGTTGGTGATATGTGTCCTCAACTAACAGAGTTGAACTTTGCCATTGATAGAGAGCAGTTTTGAAACACTCTTTTGCCTGAATCTGCAAGTGGATATTTGGATAGCTTGGAGGATTTCGTTGGAAGCGGGAATTCAAATAAAAGGTAGACAG
The DNA here is from genome assembly GCF_000001405.40 of Homo sapiens. Taxonomy (NCBI): domain Eukaryota; kingdom Metazoa; phylum Chordata; class Mammalia; order Primates; family Hominidae; genus Homo; species Homo sapiens. The sequence goes on from NC_000014.9 coordinate 17,830,040, forward strand.
CAGCATTCTCAGAAATTTCTTTCTGATGTCTGCATTCAACTCATAGAGTTGAAGATTCCCTTTCATAGAGCAGGTTTGAAAAACTCTTTCTGTACTATCTGGATGTAGACATTTGGAGCGCTTTGATGCCTACGGTGAAAAAGTAAATATCTTCCCATAAAAACGAGACAGAAGGATTCTGAGAAACAAGTTTGTGATGTGTGTACTCGGCTAACAGAGTGGAACCTCTCTTTTGATGCAGCAGTTTGGAAACACTCTTTTTGTAGAAACTGTAAGTGGATATTTGGATAGCTCTAATGATTTCGTTGGAAACGGGAATATCATCATCTAAAATCTAGACAGAAGCCGTCTCAGAAACTACTTTGTGATATCTGCATTCAAGTCACAGAGTTGAACATTCGCTTTCTTAGAGCACGTTGGAAACACTCTTTTTGTAGTGTCTGGAAGTGGACATTTGGAGCGCTTTGATGCCTTTGGTGAAAAAGGGAATGTCTTCCCATAAAAACTAGACAGAAGCATTCTCAGAAACTTGTTTGTGATGTGTGTACCCAGCTAAAGGAGTTGAACATTTCTATTGATAGAGCAGTTTTGAAACACTCTTTTTGTGGAAAATGCAAGTGGATATTTGGATAGCTTGGAGGATTTCGTTGGAAGCGGGAATTCAAATAAAAGGTAGACAGCAGCATTCTCAGAAATTTCTTTCTGATGTCTGCATTCAACTCATAGAGTTGAAGATTCCCTTTCATAGAGGAGGTTTGAAACACTCTTTCTGGAGTATCTGGACGTGGACATTTGGAGCGCTTTGATGCCTATGGTGAAAAAGTAAATATCTTCCCATAAAAACGAGACAGAAGCTTTCTCAGAAACTTCTTTGTGATGTGTGTCCTCAACTAACAGAGTTGAACCTTTCTTTTGATGCAGCAGTTTGGAAACACACTTTCTGTAGAAACTGTAAGTGGATATTTGGGTAGGTCTAACGATATCGTTGGAAACGGGAATATCTTCATCTAAAGTATACACAGAAGCAGTCTCAGAAACTACTTTGTGATATCTGCATTCCAGTCACAGGGTTGAAAACTCCCTTACTTAGAGCAGGTTTGAAACACTCTTTTTGTAGAATCTGGAAGTGGACATTTGGAGCGCTTTGATGCCTTTGGTGAAAAAGGAAATGTCTTCCCTTAAAAAGTAGACAGAAGCATTTTCAGAAACTTGTTTGTGATGTGTGTACCCAGCCAAAGGAGTTGAACATTTCTATTGATAGAGCAGTTTTGAAACACTCTTTTTGTGGAAAATGCAGGTGGATATTTGGATAGCTTGGAGGATTTCGTTGGAAGCGGGAATTCAAATAAAAGGTAGACAGCAGCAGCATTCTCAGAAATTTCCTTCTGATGTCTGCATTCAACTCATAGAGTTGAAGACTCCCTTTCATAAAGCAGGTTTGAAACACTCTTTCTGGAGTATCTGGATGTGGACATTTGGAGCGCTTGGATGCCTACGGTGAAAAAGTAAATATCTTCCCATAAAAACGAGACAGAAGGATTCTGAGAAACAAGTTTGTGATGTGTGTACTCAGCTAACAGAGTGGAACCTTTCTTTTTACAGAGCAGCTTTGAAACTCTATTTTTGTGGATTCTGCAAATTGATATTTAGATTGCTTTAACGATATCGTTGGAAAAGGGAATATCCTCATACAAAATATAGACAGAAGCATTCTCACAAACTTCTTTGTGATGTGTGTCCTCAACTAACAGAGTTGAACCTTTCTTTTGATGCAGCAATTTGGAAACACCCTTTTGGTAGAAACTGTAACTGGATATTTGGATAGCTGCTAACGATTTCGTTGGAAAAGGGAATATCATCATCTAAAATGTAGGCAGAAAGCACTATTAGAAACTACTTGGTGATATCTGCATTCAAGTCAAAGAGTTGAACATTCCCTTACTTTGAGCACGTTTGAAACACTCTTTTGGAAGAATCTGGAAGTGGACATTTGGAGCGCTTTGATGCCTTTGGTGAAAAGGAAACGTCTTCCAATAAAAGCCAGACAGAAGCATTCTCAGAAACATGTTCGTGGTGTGTGTACTCAACTAAAAGAGTTGAACCTTTCTATTGATAGAGCAGTTTTGAAACACTCTTTTTGTGGATTCTGCAAGTGGATATTTGGATTGCTTTGAGGATTTCGTTGGAAGCGGGAATTCGTATAAACACTAGACAGCAGCATTCCCAGAAATTTCTTTCGGATATTTCCATTCAACTCATAGAGATGAACATGGCCTTTCATAGAGCAGGTTTGAAACACTCTTTTTGTAGTTTGTGGAAGTGGACATTTCGATCGCCTTGACCGCCTACGGTGAAAAAGGAAATATCTTCCCATAAAAAATAGACAGAAGCATTCTCAGAAACTTGTTGGTGATATGTGTCCTCAACTAACACAGTTGAACTTTGCCATTGATAGAGAGCAGTTTTGAAACACTCTTTTTGTGGAATCTGCAAGTGGATATTTGGATAGCTTGGAGGATTTCGTTGGAAGCGGGAATTCAAATAAAAGGTAGACAGCAGGATTCTGAGAAACAAGTTTGTGATGTGTGTACTCAGCTAACAGAGTGGAACCTCTCTTTTGATGCAGCAGTTTGGAAACACTCTTTTTGTAGAAACTGTAAGTGGATATTTGGATAGCTCTAATGATTTCGTTGGAAACGGGAATATCATCATCTAAAATCTAGACAGAAGCCCTCTCAGAAACTACTTTGTGATATCTGCATTCAAGTCACAGAGTTGAACATTCGGTTTCTTAGAGCACGTTTGAAACACACTTTTTGTAGTGTCTGGAAGTGGACATTTGGAGCGCTTTGATGCCTTTGGTGAAAAAGGGAATGTCTTCCCATAAAAACTAGACAGAAGCATTCTCAGAAACTTGTTTGTGATGTGTGCACCCAGCTAAAGGAGTTGAACATTTCTATTGATAGAGCAGTTTTGAAGCACTCTTTTTGTGGAAAATGCAAGTGGATATTTGGATAGCTTGGAGGATTTCGTTGGAAGCGGGAGTTCAAATAAAAGGTAGACAGCAAGCATTCTCAGAAATTTCTTTCTGATGTCTGCATTCAACTCATAGAGTTGAAGATTCCCTTTCATAGAGCAGGTTTGAAACACTCTTTCTGGAGTATCTGGATGTGGACATTTGGAGCGCTTTGATGCCTACGGTGAAAAAGTAAATATCTTCCCATAAAAACGAGACAGAAGGATTCTCAGAAGCAAGTTTGTGATGTGTGTACTCAGCTAACAGAGTGGAACCTTTCTTTTTACAGAGCAGCTTTGAAACTGTTTTTGTGGATCCTGCAAATTGATATTTGTGTTGATTTAAAGATATCATTGGAAAAGGGAATATCTTCATACAAAATCTAGACAGAAGCATTCTCACAAACTTCTTTGTGACGTGTGTCCTCAACTAACAGAGTTGAACCTTTCTTTTGATGCAGCAGTTTGGAAACACTGTTTTTGTAGAAACTGTAAGTGGATATTTGGATAGCTCTAACGATTTCGTTGGAAACGGGAATATCATCATCTAAAATCTAGACAGAAGCACTATTAGAAACTACTTGGTGATATCTGCATTCAAGTCACAGAGTTGAACATTCCCTTACTTTGAGCACGTTTCAAACACTCTTTTGGAAGAATCTGGAAGTGGACATTTGGAGCGCTTTGATGCCTTTGGTGAAAAGGAAACGTCTTCCAATAAAAGCCAGACAGAAGCATTCTCAGAAACTTGTTTGTGATGTGTGTACTCAACTAAAAGAGTTGAACCTTTCTATTGATAGAGCAGTTTTGAAACACTCTTTTTGTGGATTCTGCAAGTGGATATTAGGATTGCTTTGAGGATTTCGTTGGAAGCGGGAATTCGTATAAAAACTAGACAGCAGCATTCCCAGAAATTTCTTTCGGATATTTCCATTCGACTCATAGAGATGAACATGGCCTTTCATAGAGCAGGTTTGAAACACTCTTTTTGTAGTTTGTGGAAGTGGACATTTCGATCGCCTTGACGCCTACGGTGAAAAAGGAAATATCTTCCCATAAAAAATAGACAGAAGCATTCTCAGAAACTTGTTGGTGATATGTGTCCTCAACTAACAGAGTTGAACTTTGCCATTGATAGAGAGCAGTTTTGAAACACTCTTTTTGTGGAATCTGCAAGTGGATATTTGGATAGCTTGGAGGATTTCGTTGGAAGCGGGAATTCAAATAAAAGGTAGACAGCAGCATTCTCAGAAATTTCTTTCTGATGTCTGCATTCAACTCATAGAGTTGAAGATTCCCTTTCATAGAGCAGGTTTGAAACACTCTTTCTGGAGTATCTGGACGTGGACATTTGGAGCGCTTTGATGCCTACGGTGAAAAAGTAAATATCTTCCCATAAAAACGAGACAGAAGGATTCTGAGAAACAAGTTTGTGATGTGTGTACTCAGCTAACAGAGTGGAACCTTTCTTTTTACAGAGCAGCTTTGAAACTCTATTTTTGTGGATTCTGCAAATTGATATTTAGATTGCTTTAACGATATCGTTGGAAAAGGGAATATCGTCATACAAAATCTAGACACAAGCACTCTCAGAAACTACTTTGTGATATCTGCATTCAAGTCACAGAGTTGAACATTCGCTTTCTTAGAGCACGTTTGAAACACTCTTTTTGTAGTGTCTGGAAGTGGACATTTGGAGCACTTTGATGCCTTTGGTGAAAAAGGGAACGTCTTCCCATAAAAACTAGACAGAAGCATTCTCAGAAACTTGTTTGTGATGTGTGTACCCAGCCAAAGGAGTTGAACATTTCTATTGATAGAGCAGTTTTGAAACACTCTTTTTGTGGAAAATGCAGGTGGATATTTGGATAGCTTGAAGGATTTCGTTGGAAGCGGGAATTCAAATAAAAGGTAGACAGCCAGCATTCTCAGAAATTTCTTTCTGATGTCTGCATTCAACTCATAGAGTTGAAGATTCCCTTTCATAGAGCAGGTTTGAAACACTCTTTCTGGAGTATCTGGATGTGGACATTTGGAGCGCTTTGATGCCTACGGTGAAAAAGTAAATATCTTCCCAGAAAAACGAGACAGAAAGGATTCTCAGAAACAAGTTTGTGATGTGTGTACTCAGCTAACAGAGTGGAACCTTTCTTTTTACAGAGCAGCTTTGAAACTCTATTGTTGTGGATTCTGCAAATTGATATTTAGATTGCTTTAACGATATCGTTGGAAAAGGGAATACCGTCATACAAAATCTAGACAGAAGCATTCTCACAAACTTCTTTGTGATGTGTGTCCTCAACTAACAGAGTTGAACCTTTCTTTTGATGCAGCAATTTGGAAGCACCCTTTTGGTAGAAACTGTAACTGGATATTTGGATAGCTCTAACGATTTCGTTGGAAACGGGAATATCATCATCTAAAATGTAGACAGAAGCACTATTAGAAACTACTTGGTGATATCTGCATTCAAGTCACAGAGTTGAACATTCCCTTACTTTGAGCACGTTTGAAACACTCTTTTGGAAGAATCTGGAAGTGGACATTTGGAGCGCTTTGATGCCTTTGGTGAAAAGGAAACGTCTTCCAATAAAAGCCACACAGAAGCATTCTCAGAAACTTGTTCGTGATGTGTGTACTCAACTAAAAGAGTTGAACCTTTCTATTGATAGAGCAGTTTTGAAACACTCTTTTTGTGGATTCTGCAAGTGGATATTTGGATTGCTTTGAGGATTTCGTTGGAAGCGGGAATTCGTATAAACACTAGACAGCAACATTCCCAGAAATTTCTTTCGGATATTTCCATTCAACTCATAGAGATGAACATGGCCTTTCATATTGAAACACTCTTTTTGTAGTTTGTGTAAGTGGACATTTCGATCGCCTTGATGCCTACGGTGAAAAAGGAAATATCTTCCCATAAAAAATTGACAGAAGCATTCTCAGAAAATTGTTGGTGATATGTGTCCTCAACTAACAGAGTTGAACTTTGCCATTGATAGAGAGCAGTTTTGAAACACTCTTTTTGTGGAATCTGCAAGTGGATATTTGGATAGCTTGGAGGATTTCGTTGGAAGCGGGAATTCAAATTAAAGGTAGACAGCAGCATTCTCAGAAATTTCTTTCTGATGTCTGCATTCAACTCATAGAGTTGAAGATTCCCTTTCATAGAGCAGGTTTGAAACACTCTTTCTGGAGTATCTGGATGTGGACATTTGGAGCGCTTTGATGCCTACGGTGAAAAAGTATAATCTTCCCATAAAAACGAGACAGAAGGATTCTGAGAAACAAGTTTGTGATGTGTGTACTCAGCTAACAGAGTGGAACCTCTCTTTTGATGCAGCAGTTTGGAAACACTCTTTTTGTAGAAACCGTAAGTGGATATTTGGATAGCTCTAATGATTTCGTTGGAAACGGGAATATCATCATCTAAAATCTAGACAGAAGCCCTCTCAGAAACTACTTTGTGATATCTGCATTCAAGTCAGAGAGTTGAACATTCGCTTTCTTAGAGCACGTTTGAAACACTCTTTTTGTAGTGTCAGGAAGTGGACATTTGGAGCGCTTTGATGCCTTTGGTGAAACAGGGAATGTCTTCCCATAAAAACTAGACAGAAGCATTCTCAGAAACTTGTTTGTGATGTGTGTACCCAGCTAAAGGAGTTGAACATTTCCATTGATAGAGCAGTTTTGAAACACTCTTTTTGTGGAAAATGCAAGTGGATATTTGGATAGCTTGGAGGATTTCATTGGAAGCGGGAATTCAAATAAAAGGTAGACAGGAGCATTCTCAGAAATTTCTTTCTGATGTCTGCATTCAACTCATAGAGTTGAAGATTCCCTTTCATAGAGCAGGTTTGAAACACTCGTTCTGGAGTATCTGGATGTGGACATTTGGAGCGCTTTGATGCCTACGGTGGAAAAGAAAATATCTTCCCATAAAAACGAGACAGAAGGATTCTCAGAAACAAGTTTGTGATGTGTGTACTCAGCTAACAGAGTGGATCCTTCCTTTTTACAGAGCAGCTTTGAAACTCTATTTCTGTGGATTCTGCAAATTGATATTTGGGTTGATTTAACGACATCGTTGGAAAAGGGAATATCTTCATACAAAATCTAGACAGAAGCATTCTCACAAACTTCTTTGTGACGTGTGTCCTCAACTAACAGAGTTGAACCTTTCTTTTGATGCAGCAGTTTGGAAACACTCTTTTTGTAGAAACTGTAAGTGGATATTTGGATAGCTCTAACGATTTCGTTGGAAACGGGAATATCATCATCTAAAATCTAGACAGAAGCACTATTAGAAACTACTTGGTGATATCTGCATTCAAGTCACAGAGTTGAACATTCCCTTACTTTGAGCACGTTTCAAACACTCTTTTGGAAGAATCTGGAAGTGGACATTTGGAGCGCTTTGATGCCTTTGGTGAAAAGGAAACGTCTTACAATAAAAGCCAGACAGAAGCATTCTGAGAAACTTGTTCGTGATGTGTGTACTCAACTAAAAGAGTTGAACCTTTCTATTGATAGGGCAGTTTTGAAACACTCTTTTTGTGGATTCTGCAAGTGGATATTTGGATTGCTTTGAGGATTTCGTTGGAAGCGGGAATTCGTATAAACACTAGACAGCAGCATTCCCAGAAATTTCTTTCGGATATTTCCATTCAACTCATAGAGATGAACATGGCCTTTCATAGAGCAGGTTTGAAACACTCTTTTTGTAGTTTGTGGAAGTGGACATTTCGATCGCCTTGACGCCTACGGTGAAAAAGGAAATATCTTCCCATAAAAAATAGACAGAAGCATTCTCAGAAACTTGTTGGTGATATGTGTCCTCAACTAACAGAGTTGAACTTTGCCATTGATAGAGAGCAGTTTTTGAAACACTCTTTTTGTGGAATCTGCAAGTGGATATTTGGATAGCTTGGAGGATTTCGTTGGAAGCGGGAATTCAAATAAAAGGTAGACAGCAGCATTCTCAGAAATTTCTTTCTGATGTCTGCATTCAACTCATAGAGTTGAAGATTCCCTTTCATAGAGCAGGTTTGAAACACTCCTTCTGGAGTATCTGGATGTGGACATTTGGAGCGCTTTGATGCCTACGGTGAAAAAGTAAATATCTTCCCAGAAAAACGAGACAGAAGGATTCTGAGAAACAAGTTTGTGATGTGTGTACTCAGCTAACAGAGTGGAACCTCTCTTTTGATGCAGCAGTTTGGAAACACTCTTTTTGTAGAAACTGTAAGTGGATATTTGGATAGATCTAATGATTTCGTTGGAAACGGGAATATCATCATCTAAAATCTAGACAGAAGCCCTCTCAGAAACTACTTTGTGATATCTGCATTCAAGTCACAGAGTTGAACATTCGGTTTCTTAGAGCACGTTGGAAACACTCCTTTTGTAGTGTCTGGAAGTGGACATTTGGAGCGCTTTGATGCCTTTGGTGAAAAAGGGAATGTCTTCCCATAAAAACTAGACAGAAGCATTCTCAGAAACTTGTTTGTGATGTGTGTACCCAGCTAAAGGAGTTGAACATTTCTATTGATAGAGCAGTTTTGAAACACTCTTTTTGTGGAAAATGCAAGTGGATATTTGGATAGCTTGGAGGATATCGTTGGAAGCGGGAATTCAATAAAAGGTAGACAGCAGCATTCTCAGAAATTTCTTTCTGATGTCTGCATTCAACTCATAGAGTTGAACATTCCCTTTCATAGAGCAGGTTTGAAACACTGTTTCTGGAGTATCTGGATGTGGACATTTGGAGCGCTTTGATGCCTACGGTGAAAAAGTAAATATCTTCCCATAAAAACGAGACAGAAGGATTCTGAGAGACAAGTTTGTGATGTGTGTACTCAGCTAACAGAGTGGAACCTTTCTTTTTACAGAGCAGCTTTGAAACTCTATTTTTGTGGATTCTGCAAATGCATATTTAGATTGCTTTAATGATATCGCTGGAAAAGGGAATATGGTCATACAAAATCTAGACAGAAGCTTTCTCACAAACTTCTTTGTGATGTGTGTCCTCAACTAACAGAGTTGAACCTTTCTTTTGATGCAGCAGTTTGGAAACACTCTTTTTGTAGAAACTGTAAGTGGATATTTGGATAGCTATAACGATTTCGTTGGAAACGGGAATATCATCATCTAAAATCTAGACAGAAGCACTATTAGAAACTACCTGGTGATATCTGCATTCAAGTCACAGAGTAGAACATTCCCTTACTTCGAGCACGTTTGAAACACTCTTTTGGAAGAATCTGGAAGTGGACATTTGGAGCGCTTTGATGCCTTTGGTGAAAAGGAAACGTCTTCCAATAAAAGCCAGACAGAAGCATTCTCAGAAACTTGTTGGTGATGTGTGTACTCAACTAAAAGAGTTGAACCTTTCTATTGATAGAGCAGTTTTGAAACACTCTTTTTGTGGATTCTGCAAGTGGATATTTGGATTGCTTTGAGGATTTCGTTGGAAGCGGGAATTCGTATAAACACTAGACAGCAGCATTCCCAGAAATTTCTTTCGGATATTTCCATTCAACTCATAGAGATGAACATGGCCTTTCATAGAGCAGGTTTGAAACACTCTTTTTGTAGTTTGTGGAAGTGGACATTTCGATCGCCTTGACGCCTACGGTGAAAAAGGAAATATCTTCCCATAAAAAATAGACAGAAGCATTCTCAGAAACTTGTTGGTGATATGTGTCCTCAACTAACAGACTTGAACTTTGCCATTGATAGAGAGCAGTTTTGAAACACTCTTTTTGTGGAATCTGCAAGTGGATATTTGGATAGCTTGGAGGATTTCGTTGGAAGCGGGAATTCAAATAAAAGGTAGACAGCAGCATTCTCAGAAATTTCCTTCTGATGTTTGCATTCAACTCATAGAGTTGAACATTCCCTTTCATAGAGCAGGTTTGAGACACTCTTTCTGTATTATCTGGAAGTGGACATTTGGAAAGCTTTGATGCCTACGGTGAAAAAGTAAATATCTTCCCATAAAAGCTAGACAGAAGGATTCTGAGAAACAAGTTTGTGATGTGTGTACTCAGCTAACAGAGTGGAACCTCTGTTTTGATGCAGCAGTTTGGAAACACTCTTTTTGTAGAAACTGTAAGTGGATATTTGGATAGCTGCTAATGATTTCGTTGGAAACGGGAATATCATCATCTAAAATCTAGACAGAAGCCCTCTCAGAAACTACTTTGTGATATCTGCATTCAAGTCACAGAGTTGAACATTCGCTTTCTTAGAGCACGTTGGAAACACTCTTTTTGTAGTGTCTGGAAGTGGACATTTGGAGCGCTTTGATGCCTTTGGTGAAAAAGGGAATGTCTACCCATAAAAACTAGACAGAAGCATTCTCAGAAACTTGTTTGTGATGTGTCTACCCAGCTAAAGGAGTTGAACATTTCTATTGATAGAGCAGTTTTGAAACACTCTTTTTGTGGAAAATGCAAGTGGATATTTGGATAGCTTGGAGGATTTCGTTGGAAGAGGGAATTCAAATAAAAGGTAGACAGCAGCATTCTCAGAAATTTCTTTCTGATGTCTGCATTCAACTCATAGAGTTGAAGATTCCCTTTCATAGAGCAGGTTTGAAACACTCTTTCTGGAGTATCTGGATGTGGACATTTGGAGCGCTTTGATGCCTACGGTGAAAAAGTAAATATCTTCCCATAAAAACGAGACAGAAGGATTCTCAGAAACAAGTTTGTGATGTGTGTACTCAGCTAACAGAGTGGAACCTTTATTTTTACAGAGCAGCTTTGAAACTCTATTTTTGTGGATTCTGCAAATTGATATTTAGATTGCTTTAACGATATCGTTGGAAAAGGGAATATCGTCATACAAAATCTAGACAGAAGCATTCTCACAAACTTCTTTGTGATGTGTGTCCTCAACTAACAGAGTTGAACCTTTCTTTTGATGCAGCAATTTGGAAACACCCTTTTGGTAGAAACTGTAACTGGATATTTGGATAGCTCTAACGATTTCGTTGGAAACGGGAATATCATCATCTAAAATGTAGACAGAAGCACTATTAGAAACTACTTGGTGATATCTGCATTCAAGTCACAGAGTTGAACATTCCCTTACTTTGAGCACGTTTCAAACACTCTTTTGGAAGAATCTGGAAGTGGACATTTGGAGCGCTTTGATGCCTTTGGTGAAAAGGAAACGTCTTCCAATAAAAGCCAGACAGAAGCATTCTCAGAAACTTGTTTGTGATGTGTGTACTCAACTAAAAGAGTTGAACCTTTCTATTGATAGAGCAGTTTTGAAACACTCTTTTTGTGGATTCTGCAAGTGGATATTTGGATTGCTTTGAGGATTTCGTTGGAAGCGGGAATTCGTATAAAAACTAGACAGCAGCATTCCCAGAAATTTCTTTCGGATATTTCCATTCAACTCATAGAGATGAACATGGCCTTTCATAGAGCAGGTTTGAAACACTCTTTTTGTAGTTTGTGGAAGTGGACATTTCGATCGCCTTGACGCCTACGGTGAAAACGGAAATATCTTCCCATAAAAAATAGACAGAAAGCATTCTCAGAAAACTTGTTGGTGATATGTGTCCTCAACTAACAGAGTTGAACTTTGCCATTGATAGAGAGCAGTTTTGAAACACTCTTTTTGTGGAATCTGCAAGTGGATATTTGGATAGCTTGGAGGATTTCGTTGGAAGCGGGAATTCAAATAAAAGGTAGACAGCAGCATTCTCAGAAATTTCTTTCTGATGTCTGAATTTAACTCATAGAGTTGAAGATTCCCTTTCATAGAGCAGGTTTGAAACACTCTTTCTGGAGTATCTGGATGTGGACATTTGGAGCGCTTTGATGCCTACGGTGAAAAAGTAAATATCTTCCCATAAAAAAGAGACAGAAGGATTCTGAGAAACAAGTTTGTGATGTGTGTACTCAGCTAACAGAGTGGAACCTCTCTTTTGATGCAGCAGTTTGGAAACACTCTTTTTGTAGAAACTGTAAGTGGATATTTGGATAGCTCTAATGATTTCGTTGGAAACGGGAATATCATCATCTAAAATCTAGACAGAAGCCCTCTCAGAAACTACTTTGTGATATCTGCATTCAAGTCACAGAGTTGAACATTCGCTTTCTTAGGGCACGTTGGAAACACTCTTTTTGTAGTGTCTGGAAGTGGACATTTGGAGCGCTTTGATGCCTTTGGTGAAAAAGGGAATGTCTTCCCATAAAAACTAGACAGAAGCATTCTCAGAAACTTGTTTGTGATGTGTGTACCCAGCTAAAGGAGTTGAACATTTCCATTGATAGAGCAGTTTTGAAACACTCTTTTTGTGGAAAATGCAAGTGGATATTTGGATAGCTTGGAGGATTTCGTTGGAAGCGGGAATTCAAATAAAAGGTAGACAGCAGCATTCTCAGAAATTTCTTTCTGATGTCTGCATTCAACTCATAGAGTTGAAGATTCCCTTTCATAGAGCAGGTTTGAAACACTCTTTCTGGAGTATCTGGATGTGGACATTTGGAGCGCTTTGATGCCTACGGTGGAAAAAGTAAATATCTTCCCATAAAAACGAGACAGAAGGATTCTGAGAAACAAGTTTGTGATGTGTGTACTCAGCTAACAGAGTGGAACCTCTCTTTTGATGCAGCAGTTTGGAAACACTCTTTTTGTAGAAACTGTAAGTGGATATTTGGATAGCTCTAATGATTTCGTTGGAAACGGGAATATCATCATCTAAAATCTAGACAGAAGCACTCTCAGAAACTACTTTTTGATATCTGCATTCAAGTCACAGAGTTGAACATTCGCTTTCTTAGAGCACTTTTGAAACACTCTTTTTGTAGTATCTGGAAGTGGACATTTGGAGCTCTTTGATGCCTTTGGTGAAAAAGGAAATGTCTTCCCATAAAAACTAGACAGAAGCTTTCTCAGAAACTTGTTTGTGATGTGTGTACCCAGCGAAAGGAGTTGAACATTTCTATTGATAGAGAAGTTTTGAAACACTCTTTTTGTGGAATCTGCAAGTGGATATTTGGATAGCTTGGAGGTTTTCGTTGGAAGCGGGAATTCAAATAAAAGGTAGACAGCAGCATTCTCAGAAATTTCTTTCTGATGTCTGCATTCAACTCATAGAGTTGAAGATTCCCTTTCATAGAGCAGGTTTGAAACACTCGTTCTGGAGTATCTGGATGTGGACATTTGGAGCGCTTTGATGCCTACAGTGGAAAAGTAAATATCTTCCCATAAAAACGAGACAGAAGGATTCTCAGAATCAAGTTTGTGATGTGTGTACTCAGCTAACAGAGTGGAACCTTTCTTTTTACAGAGCAGCTTTGAAACTCTATTTTTGTGGATTCTGCAAATTGATATTTAGATTGCTTTAACGATATCGTTGGAAAAGGGAATATCGTCATACAAAATCTAGACAGAAGCATTCTCACAAACTTCTTTGTGATGTGTGTCCTCAACTAACAGAGTTGAACCTTTCTTTTGATGCAGCAATTTGGAAACACCCTTTTGGTAGAAACTGTAACTGGATATTTGGATAGCTCTAACGATTTCGTTGGAAACGGGAATATCATCATCTAAAATCTAGACAGAAGCACTATTAGAAACTACCTGGTGATATCTGCATTCAAGTCACAGAGTAGAACATTCCCTTACTTCGAGCACGTTTGAAACACTCTTTTGGAAGAATCTGGAAGTGGACATTTGGAGCGCTTTGATGCCTTTGGTGAAAAAGGAAACGTCTTCTAATAAAAACCAGACAGAAGCATTCTCAGAAACTTGTTTGTGATGTGTGTACTCAACTAAAAGAGTTGAACCTTTCTATTGATAGAGCAGTTTTGAAACACTCTTTTTGTGGATTCTGCAAGTGGATATTTGGATTGCTTTGAGGATTTCGTTGGAAGCGGGAATTCGTATAAACACTAGACAGCAGAATTCCCAGAAATTTCTTTCGGATATTTCCATTCAACTCATAGAGATGAACATGGCCTTTCATAGAGCAGGTTTGAAACACTCTTTTTGTAGTTTGTGGAAGTGGACATTTCGATCGCCTTGACACCTACGCTGAAAAAGGAAATATCTTCCCATAAAAAATAGACAGAAGCATTCTCAGAAACTTGTTGGTGATATGTGTCCTCAACTAACAGAGTTGAACTTTGCCATTGATAGAGAGCAGTTTTCAAACACTCTTTTTGTGGAATCTGCAAGTGGATATTTGGATAGCTTGGAGGATTTCGTTGGAAGCGGGAATTCAAATAAAAGGTAGACAGCAGCATTCTCAGAAATTTCTTTCTGATGTCTGCATTCAACTCATAGAGTTGAAGATTCCCTTTCATAGAGCAGGTTTGAAACACTCTTTCTGGAGTATCTGGATGTGGACATTTGGAGCGCTTTGATGCCTACGGTGGAAAAGTAAATATCTTCCCATAAAAACGAGACAGAAGGATTCTGAGAAACAAGTTTGTGATGTGTGTACTCAGCTAACAGAGTGGAACCTCTCTTTTGATGCAGCAGTTTGGAAACATTCTTTTTGTAGAAACTGTAAGTGGATATTTGGATAGCTCTAATGATTTCGTTGGAAACGGGAATATCATCATCTAAAATCTAGACAGAAGCACTCTCAGAAACTACTTTGTGATATCTGCATTCAAGTCACAGAGTTGAACATTCGCTTTCTTAGAGCACGTTGGAAACACTCTTTTTGTAGTGTCTGGAAGTGGACATTTGGAGCGCTTTGATGCCTTTGGTGAAAAAGGGAACGTCTTCCCATAAAAACTAGACAGAAGCATTCTCAGAAACTTGTTTGTGATGTGTGTACCCAGCCAAAGGAGTTGAACATTTCTATTGATAGAGCAGTTTTGAAACACTCTTTTTGTGGAAAATGCAAGTGGATATTTGGATAGCTTGGAGGATTTCGTTGGAAGCGGGAATTCAAATAAAAGGTAGACAGCAGCATTCTCAGAAATTTCTTTCTGATGTCTGCATTCAACTCATAGAGTTGAAGATTCCCTTTCATAGAGCAGGTTTGAAACACTCGTTCTCGAGTATCCGGATGTGGACATTTGGAGCGCTTTGATGCCTACGGTGGAAAAGTAAATATCTTCCCATAAAAACGAGACAGAAGGATTCTCAGAAACAAGTTTGTGATGTGTGTACTCAGCTAACAGAGTGGAACCTTTCTTTTTACAGAGCAGCTTTGAAACTCTATTTTTGTGGATTCTGCAAATTGATATTTAGATTGCTTTAACGATATCGTTGGAAAAGGGAATATTGTCATACAAAATCTGGACAGAAGCATTCTCACAAACTTCTTTGTGATGTGTGTCCTCAACTAACAGAGTTGAACCTTTCTTTTGATGCAGCAATTTGGAAACACCCTTTTGGTAGAAACTGTAACTGGATATTTGGATAGCTCTAACGATTTCGTTGGAAACGGGAATATCATCATCTAAAATGTAGACAGAAGCACTATTAGAAACTACTTGGTGATATCTGCATTCAAGTCACAGAGTTGAACATTCCCTTACTTCGACCACGTTTGAAACACTCTTTTGGAAGAATCTGGAAGTGGACATTTGGAGCGCTTTGATGCCTTTGGTGAAAAGGAAACGTCTTCCAATAAAAGCCAGACAGAAGCATTCTCAGAAACTTGTTCGTGTTGTGTGTACTCAACTAAAAGAGTTGAACCTTTCTATTGATAGAGCAGTTTTGAAACCCTCTTTTTGTGGATTCTGCAAGTGGATATTTGGATTGCTTTGAGGATTTCGTTGGAAGCGGGAATTCGTATAAACACTAGACAGCAGCATTCCCAGAAATTTCTTTCGGATATTTCCATTCAACTCATAGAGATGAACATGGCCTTTCATAGAGCAGGTTTGAAACACTCTTTTTGTAGTTTGTGGAAGTGGACATTTCGATCGCCTTGACGCCTACGGTGAAAAAGGAAATATCTTCCCATAAAAAATAGACAGAAGCATTCTCAGAAACTTGTTGGTGATATGTGTCCTCAACTAACAGAGTTGAACTTTGCCATTGATAGAGAGCAGTTTTGAAACACTCTTTTTGTGGAATCTGCAAGTGGATATTTGGATAGCTTGGAGGAGTTCGTTGGAAGCGGAAATTCAAATAAAAGGTAGACAGCAGGATTCTCAGAAACAAGTTTGTGATGTGTGTACTCAGCTAACAGAGTGGAACCTCTCTTTTGATCCAGCAGTTTGGAAACACTCTTTTTGTAGAAACTGTAAGTGGATATTTGGATAGCTCTAATGATTTCGTTGGAAACGGGAATATCATCATCTAAAATCTAGACAGAAGCCCTCTCAGAAACTACTTTGTGATATCTGCATTCAAGTCACAGAGTTGAACATTCGCTTTCTTAGAGCACGTTTGAAACACTCTTTTTGTAGTGTCTGGAAGTGGACATTTGGAGCGCTTTGATTCCTTTGGTGAAAAAGGGAATGTCTTCCCATAAAAACTAGACAGAAACATTCTCAGAGACTTGTTTGTGATGTGTGTACCCAGCCAAAGGAGTTGAACATTTCTATTGATAGAGCAGTTTTGAAACACTCTTGTTGTGGAAAATGCAGGTGGATATTTGGATAGCTTGGAGGATTTCGTTGGAAGCGGGAATTCAAATAAAAGGTAGACAGCAGCATTCTCAGAAATTTCTTTCTGATGTCTGCATTCAACTCATAGAGTTGAAGATTCCCTTTCATAGAGCAGGTTTGAAACACTCTTTCTGGAGTATCTGGATGTGGACATTTGGAGCGCTTTGATGCCTACGTTGGAAAAGTAAATATCTTCCCATAAAAACGAGACAGAAGGATTCTCAGAAACAAGTTTCTGATGTGTGTACTCAGCTAACAGAGTGGAACCTTTCTTTTTACAGAGCAGCTTTGAAACTCTATTTTTGTGGATTCTGCAAATTGATATTTAGATTGCTTTAACGATATCGTTGGAAAAGGGAATATCGTCATACAAAATCTGGACAGAAGCATTCTCACAAACTTCTTTGTGATGTGTGTCCTCAACTAACAGAGTTGAAACTTTCTTTTGATGCAGCAGTTTGGAAACACTCTTTTTGTAGAAACTGTAAGTGGATATTTGGATAGCTCTAATGATTTCGTTGGAAACGGGAATATCATCATCTAAAATCTAGACAGAAGCACTATTAGAAACTACTTGGTGATATCTGCATTCAAGTCACAGAGTTGAACATTCCCTTACTTTGAGCACGTTTGAAACACTCTTTTGGAAAAATCTGGAAGTGGACATTTGGAGCGCTTTGATGCCTTTGGTGAAAAGGAAACGTCTTCCAATAAAAGCCAGACAAAAGCATTCTCAGAAACTTGTTCGTGATGTGTGTACTCAACTAAAAGAGTTGAACCTTTCTATTGATAGAGCAGTTTTGAAACACTCTTTTTGTGGATTCTGCAAGTGGATATTTGGATTGCTTTGAGGATTTCGTTGGAAGCGGGAATTCGTATAAACACTAGACAGCAGCATTCCCAGAAATTTCTTTCGGATATTTCCATTCAACTCATAGAGATGAACATGGCCTTTCATAGAGCAGGTTTGAAACACTCATTTTGTAGTTTCTGGAAGTGGACATTTCGATCGCCTTGACGCCTACGGTGAAAAAGGAAATATCTTCCCATAAAAAATAGACAGAAGCATTCTCAGAAACTTGTTGGTGATATGTGTCCTCAACTAACAGAGTTGAACTTTGCCATTGATAGAGAGCAGTTTTGAAACACTCTTTTTGTGGAATCTGCAAGTGGATATTTGGATAGCTTGGAGGATTTCGTTGGAAGCGGGAATTCAAATAAAAGGTAGACAGCAGCATTCTCAGAAATTCCTTTCTGATGTTTGCATTCAACTCATAGAGTTGAACATTCCCTTTAATAGAGCAGGTTTGAAACACTCTTTCTGTACTATCTGGATGTGGACATTTGGAGCGCTTTGATGCCTACGGTGAAAAAGGAAATGTCTTCCCATAAAAAATTGAAGAAGGATTCTCAGAAACAAGTTTGTGATGTGCGTACTCAGCTAACAGAGTGGAACCTCTCTTCTGATGCAGCAGTTTGGAAACACTCTTTTTGTAGAAACTGTAAGTGGATATTTGGATAGCTCTAATGATTTCGTTGGAAACGGGAATATCATCATCTAAAATCTAGACAGAAGCCCTCTCAGAAACTACTTTGTGATATCTGCATTCAAGTCACAGGAGTTGAACATTCGCTTTCTTAGAGCACGTTTGAAACACTCTTTTTGTAGTGTCTGGAAGTGGACATTTGGAGCGCTTTGATGCCTTTGGTGAAAAAGGGAACGTCTTCCCATAAAAACTAGACAGAAGCATTCTCAGAAACTTGTTTGTGATGTGTGCACCCAGCTAAAGGAGTTGAACATTTATTGATAGAGCAGTTTTGAAGCACTCTTTTTGTGGAAAATGCAAGTGGATATTTGGATAGCTTGGAGGATTTCGTTGGAAGTGGGAGTTCAAATAAAAGGTAGACAGCAGCATTCTCAGAAATTTCTTTCTGATGTCTGCATTCAACTCATAGAGTTGAAGATTCCCTTTCATAGAGCAGGTTTGAAACACTCTTTCTGCAGTATCTGGATGTGGACATTTGGAGCGCTTTGATGCCTACGGTGAAAAAGTAAATATCTTCCCATAAAAACGAGACAGAAGGATTCTCAGAAACAAGTTTGTGATGTGTGTACTCAGCTAACAGAGTGGAACCTTTCTTTTTACAGAGCAGCTTTGAAACTCTATTTTTGTGGATTCTGCAAATGGATATTTAGATTGCTTTAATGATATCGCTGGAAAAGGGAATATGGTCATACAAAATATAGACAGATAAGCATTCTCACAAACTTCTTTGTGATGTGTGTCCTCAACTAACAGAGTTGAACCTTTCTTTTGATGCAGCAATTTGGAAACACCCTTTTGGTAGAAACTGTAACTGGATATTTGGATAGCTCTAACGATTTCGTTGGAAACGGGAATATCATCATCTAAAATGTAGACAGAAGCACTATTAGAAACTACTTGGTGATATCTGCATTCAAGTCACAGAGTAGAACATTCCCTTACTTCGAGCACTTTTGAAACACTCTTTTGGAAGAATCTGGAAGTGGACATTTGGAGCGCTTTGATGCCTTTGGTGAAAAGGAAACGTCTTCCAATAAAAGCCAGACAGAAGCATTCTCAGAAACTTGTTTGTGATGTGTGTACTCAACTAAAAGAGTTGAACCTTTCTATTGATAGAGCAGTTTTGAAACACTCTTTTTGTGGATTCTGCAAGTGGATATTTGGATTGCTTTGAGGATTTCGTTGGAAGCGGGAATTCGTATAAACACTAGACAGCAGCATTCCCAGAAATTTCTTTCGGATATATCCATTCAACTCATAGAGATGAACATGGCCTTTCATAGAGCAGGTTTGCAACACTCTTTTTGTAGTTTGTGGAAGTGGACATTTCGATCGCCTTGACGCCTACGGTGAAAAAGGAAATATCTTCCCATAAAAAATAGACAGAAGCATTCTCAAAAACTTGTTGGTGATATGTGTCCTCAACTAACAGAGTTGAACTTTGCCATTGATAGAGAGCAGTTTTGAAACACTCTTTTTGTGGAATCTGCAAGTGGATATTTGGATAGCTTGAAGGATTTCGTTGGAAGCGGGAATTCAAATAAAAGGTAGACAGCAGCATTCTCAGTAAATTTCTTTCTGATGTCTGCATTCAACTCATAGAGTTGAAGATTCCCTTTCATAGAGCAGGTTTGAAACACTCTTTCTGGAGTATCTGGATGTGGACATTTGGAGCGCTTTGATGCCTACGGTGAAAAAGTAAATATCTTCCCAGAAAAACGAGACAGAAGGATTCTGAGAAACAAGTTTGTGATGTGTGTACTCAGCTAACAGAGTGGAACCTCTCTTTTGATGCAGCAGTTTGGAAACACTCTTTTTGTAGAAACTGTAAGTGGATATTTGGATAGCTCTAATGATTTCGTTGGAAACGGGAATATCATCATCTAAAATCTAGACAGAAGCCCTCTCAGAAACTACTTTGTGATATCTGAATTCAAGTCACAGAGTTGAACATTCGCTTTCTTAGAGCACGTTGGAAACACTCTTTTTGTAGTGTCTGGAAGTGGACATTTGGAGCGCTTTGATGCCTTTGGTGAAAAAGGGAATGTCTTCCCATAAAAACTAGACAGAAGCATTCTCAGAAACTTGTTTGTGATGTGTGTACCCAGCCAAAGGAGATGAACATTTCTATTGATAGAGCAGTTTTGAAACTCTCTTTTTGTGGAAAATGCAGGTGGATATTTGGATAGCTTGGAGGATTTCGTTGGAAGCGGGAATTCAAATAAAAGGTAGACAGCAGCATTCTCAGAAATTTCTTTCTGATTCTGCATTCAACTCATAGAGTTGAAGATTCCCTTTCATAGAGCAGGTTTGAAACACTCGTTCTGGAGTATCTGGATGTGGACATTTGGAGCGCTTTGATGCCTACAGTGGAAAAGTAAATATCTTCCCATAAAAACGAGACAGAAGGATTCTCAGAAACAAGTTTGTGATGTGTGTACTCAGCTAACAGAGTGGAACCTTTCTTTTTACAGAGCAGCTTTGAAACTCTAGTTTTGTGGATTCTGCAAATTGATATTTAGATTGCTTTAACGATATCGTTGGAAAAGGGAATATCCTCATACAAAATCTAGACAGAAGCATTCTCACAAACTTCTTTGTGATGTGTGTCCTCAACTAACAGAGTTGAACCTTTCTTTTGATGCAGCAATTTGGAAACACCCTTTTGGTAGAAACTGTAACTGGATATTTGGATAGCTCTAACGATTTCGTTGGAAACGGGAATATCATCATCTAAAATCTAGACAGAAGCACTATTAGAAACTACTTGGTGATATCTGCATTCAAATCACAGAGTAGAACATTCCCTTACTTCGAGCACGTTTGAAACACTCTTTTGGAAGAATCTGAAAGTGGACATTTGGAGCGCTTTGATGCCTTTGGTGAAAAGGAAACGTCTTCCAATAAAAGCCAGACAGAAGCATTCTCAGAAACTTGTTTGTGATGTGTGTACTCAACTAAAAGAGTTGAACCTTTCTATTGATAGAGCAGTTTTGAAACACTCTTTTTGTGGATTCTGCAAGTGGATATTTGGATTGCTTTGAGGATTTCGTTGGAAGCGGGAATTCGTATAAAAACTAGACAGCAGCATTCCCAGAAATTTCTTTCGGATATTTCCATTCGACTCATAGAGATGAACATGGCCTTTCATAGAGCAGGTTTGAAACACTCTTTTTGTAGTTTGTGGAAGTGGACATTTCGATCGCCTTGACGCCTACGGTGAAAAAGGAAATATCTTCCCATAAAAAATAGACAGAAGCATTCTCAGAAACTTGTTGGTGATAGGTGTCCTCAACTAACAGAGTTGAACTTTGCCATTGATAGAGAGCAGTTTTGAAACACTCTTTTTGTGGAATCTGCAAGTGGATATTTGGATAGCTTGGAGGATTTCGTTGGAAGCGGGAATTCAAATAAAAGGTAGACAGCAGCATTCTCAGAAATTTCTTTCTGATGTCTGCATTCAACTCATAGAGTTGAACATTCCCTTTCATAGAGCAGGTTTGAAACACTCTTTCTGGAGTATCTGGATGTGGACATTTGGAGCGCTTTGATGCCTACGGTGAAAAAGTATAATCTTCCCATAAAAACGAGACAGAAGGATTCTGAGAAACAAGTTTGTGATGTGTGTACTCAGCTAACAGAGTGGAACCTCTCTTTTGATGCAGCAGTTTGGAAACACTCTTTTTGTAGAAACTGTAAGTGGATATTTGGATAGCTCTAATGATTTCGTTGGAAACGGGAATATCATCATCTAAAATCTAGACAGAAGCCCTCTCAGAAACTACTTTGTGATATCTGCATTCAACTCACAGAGTTGAACATTCGGTTTCTTAGAGCACGTTTGAAACACTCTTTTTGTAGTGTCTGGAAGTGGACATTTGGAGCGCTTTGATGCCTTTGGTGAAAAAGGGAATGTCTTCCCATAAAAACTAGACAGAAGCATTCTCAGAAACTTGTTTGTGATGTGTGTACCCAGCCAAAGGAGTTGAACATTTCTATTGATAGAGCAGTTTTGAAACACTCTTGTTGTGGAAAATGCAGGTGGATATTTGGATAGCTTGGAGGATTTCGTTGGAAGCGGGAATTCAAATTAAAGGTAGACAGCAGCATTCTCAGAAATTTCTTTCTGATGTCTGCATTCAACTCATAGAGTTGAAGATTCCCTTTCATAGAGCAGGTTTGAAACACACTTTCTGGAGTATCTGGATGTGGACATTTGGAGCGCTTTGATGCCTACGGTGAAAAAGTAAATATCTTCCCATAAAAACGAGACAGAAGGATTCTGAGAAACAAGTTTGTGATGTGTGTACTCAGCTAACAGAGTGGAACCTCTGTTTTGATGCAGCAGTTTGGAAACACTCTTTTTGTAGAAACTGTAAGTGGATATTTGGATAGCTCTAATGATTTCGTTGGAAACGGGAATATCATCATCTAAAATCTAGACAGAAGCACTCTCAGAAACTACTTTGTGATATCTGCATTCAAGTCACAGAGTTGAACATTCGCTTTCTTAGAGCACGTTTGAAACACTGTTTTTGTAGTGTCTGGAAGTGGACATTTGGAGCGCTTTGATGCCTTTGGTGAAAAAGGGAACGTCTTCCCATAAAAACTAGACAGAAGCATTCTCAGAAACTTGTTTGTGATGTGTGCACCCAGCTAAAGGAGTTGAACATTTATTGATAGAGCAGTTTTGAAGCACTTTTTTTGTGGAAAATGCAAGTGGATATTTGGATAGCTTGGAGGATTTCGTTGGAAGCGGGAGTTCAAATAAAAGGTAGACAGCAGCATTCTCAGAAATTTCTTTCTGATGTCTGCATTCAACTCATAGAGTTGAAGATTCCCTTTCATAGAGCAGGTTTGAAACACTCTTTCTGGAGTATCTGGATGTGGACATTTGGAGCGCTTTGATGCCTACGGTGAAAAAGTAAATATCTTCCCATAAAAACGAGACAGAAGGATTCTGAGAAACAAGTTTGTGATGTGTGTACTCAGCTAACAGAGTGGAACCTTTCTTTTTACAGAGCAGCTTTGAAACTCTATTTTTGTGGATTCTGCAAATGGATATTTAGATTGCTTTAATGATATCGTTGGAAAAGGGAATATCGTCATACAAAATCTAGACAGAAGCATTCTCACAAACTTCTTTGTGATGTGTGTCCTCAACTAACAGAGTTGAACCTTTCTTTTGATGCAGCAGTTTGGAAACACTCTTTTTGTAGCAACTGTAAGTGGATATTTGGATAGCTCTAACGATTTCGTTGGAAACGGGAATATCATCATCTAAAATCTAGACAGAAGCACTATTAGAAACTACTTGGTGATATCTGCATTCAAGTCACAGAGTTGAACATTCCCTTACTTTGAGCACGTTTGAAACACTCTTTTGGAAGAATCTGGAAGTGGACATTTGGAGCGCTTTGATGCCTTTGGTGAAAAGGAAACGTCTCCCAACAAAAGCCAGACAGAAGCATTCTCAGAAACTTGTTTGTGATGTGTGTACTCAACTAAAAGAGTTGAACCTTTCTATTGATAGAGCAGTTTTGAAACACTCTTTTTGTGGATTCTGCAAGTGGATATTTGGATTGCTTTGAGGATTTCGTTGGAAGCGGGAATTCATATAACAACTAGACAGCAGCATTCCCAGAAATTTCTTTCGGATATTTCCATTCAACTCATAGAGATGAACATGGCCTTTCATAGAGCAGGTTTGAAACACTCTTTTTGTAGTTTGTGGAAGTGGACATTTCGATCGCCTTGACGCCTACGGTGAAAAAGGAAGTATCTTCCCATAAAAAATAGACAGAAGAATTCTCAGAAACTTGTTTGTGATGTGTATCCTCAACTGACAGAGTTGAACCTTGCCATTGATAGATCAGTTTTGAAACACTCTTTTTGTGGAATCTGCAAGTGGATATTTGGATAGCCTGGAGGATTTCGTTGGAAGCGGGAATTCAAATAAAAGGTAGACAGCAGCATTCTCAGAAATTTCTTTGTGATGTTTGCATTCAACTCATAGAGTTGAACATTCCCTTTCATATAGCAGGTTTGAAACACTCTTTCTGTACTATCTGGATGTGGACATTTGGAAAGCTTTGATGCCTACGGTGAAAAAGTAAATATCTTCCCATAAAAGCTAGACAGAAGGATTCTCGGAAACAAGTTTGTGATGTGTGTACTCAGCTAACAGAGTGGAACCTCTCTTCTGATGCAGCAGTTTGGAAACACTCTTTTTGTAGAAACTGTAAGTGGATATTTGGATAGCTCTAATGATTTCGTTGGAAACGGGAATATCATCATCTAAAATCTAGACAGAAGCCCTCTCAGAAACTACTTTGTGATATCTGCATTCAAGTCACAGAGTTGAACATTCGCTTTCTTAGAGCACGTTTGAAACACTCTTTTTGTAGTGTCTGGAAGTGGACATTTGGAGCGCTTTGATGCCTTTGGTGAAAAAGGCAATGTCTTCCCATAAAAACTAGACAGAAGCATTCTCAGAAACTTGTTTGTGATGTGTGTACCCAGCCAAAGGAGTTGAACATTTCTATTGATAGAGCAGTTTTGAAACACTCTTGTTGTGGAAAATGCAGGTGGATATTTGGATAGCTTGGAGGATTTCGTTGGAAGTGGGAATTCAAATAAAAGGTAGACAGCAGGATTCTGAGAGACAAGTTTGTGATGTGTGTACTCAGCTAACAGAGTGGAACCTTTCTTTTTACAGAGCAGCTTTGAAACTCTATTTTTGTGGATTCTGCAAATGGATATTTAGATTGCTTTAATGATATCGCTGGAAAAGGGAATATGGTCATACAAAATCTAGACAGAAGCATTCTCACAAACTTCTTTGTGATGTGTGTCCTCAACTAACAGAGTTGAACCTTTCTTTTGATGCAGCAATTTGGAAACACCCTTTTGGTAGAAACTGTAACTGGATATTTGGATAGCTCTAGCGATTTCGTTGGAAACGGGAATATCATCATCTAAAATCTAGACATAAGCACTATTAGAAACTACTTGGTGATATCTGCATTCAAGTCACAGAGTTGAACATTCCCTTACTTTGAGCACGTTTCAAACACTCTTTTGGAAGAATCTGGAAGTGGACATTTGGAGCGCTTTGATGCCTTTGGTGAAAAGGAAACATCTTCCAATAAAAGCCAGACAGAAGCATTCTCAGAAACTTGTTTGTGATGTGTGTACTCAACTAAAAGAGTTGAACCTTTCTATTGATAGAGCAGTTTTGAAACACTCTTTTTGTGGATTCTGCAAGTGGATATTTGGATTGCTTTGAGGATTTCGTTGGAAGCGGGAATTCGTATAAAAACTAGACAGCAGCATTCCCAGAAATTTCTTTCGGATATTTCCATTCAACTCATAGAGATGAACATGGCCTTTCATAGAGCAGGTTTGAAACACTCTTTTTGTAGTTTGTGGAAGTGGACATTTCGATCGCCTTGATGCCTACAGTGAAAAAGGAAATATCTTCCCATAAAAAATAGACAGAAGCATTCTCAGAAACTTGTTGGTGATATGTGTCCTCAACTAACAGAGTTGAACTTTGCCATTGATAGAGAGCAGTTTTGAAACACTCTTTTTGTGGAATCTGCAAGTGGATATTTGGATAGCTTGGAGGATTTCGTTGGAAGCGGGAATTCAAATAAAAGGTAGACAGCAGCATTCTCAGAAATTTCTTTCTGATGTCTGCATTCAACTCATAGAGTTGAAGATTCCCTTTCATAGAGCAGGTTTGAAACACTCTTTCTGGAGTATCTGGATGTGGACATTTGGAGCGCTTTGATGCCTACGGTGCAAAAGTAAATATCTTCCCATAAAAACGAGACAGAAGGATTCTGAGAAACAAGTTTGTGATGTGTGTACTCAGCTAACAGATTGGAACCTCTCCTTTGATGCAGCAGTTTGGAAACACTCTTTTTGTAGAAACTGTAAGTGGATATTTGGATAGCTCTAATGATTTCGTTGGAAACGAGAATATCATCATCTAAAATCTAGACAGAAGCCCTCTCAGAAACTACTTTGTGATATCTGCATTCAAGTCACAGAGTTGAACATTCGCTTTCTTAGAGCACGTTTGAAACACTCTTTTTGTAGTGTCTGGAAGTGGACATTTGGAGCGCTTTGATGCCTTTGGTGAAAAAGGGAATGTCTTCCCATAAAAACTAGACAGAAGCATTCTCAGAAACTTGTTTGTGATGTGTGCACCCAGCTAAAGGAGTTGAACATTTATTGATAGAGCAGTTTTGAAGCACTCTTTTTGTGGAAAATGCAAGTGGATATTTGGATAGCTTGGAGGATTTCGTTGGAAGCGGGAGTTCAAATAAAAGGTAGACAGCAAGCATTCTCAGAAATTTCTTTCTGATGTCTGCATTCAACTCATAGAGTTGAAGATTCCCTTTCATAGAGCAGGTTTGAAACACTCTTTCTGGAGTATCTGGATGTGGACATTTGGAGCGCTTTGATTCCTACGGTGAAAAAGTAAAATATCTTCCCATAAAAACGAGACAGAAGGATTCTGAGAGACAAGTTTGTGATGTGTGTACTCAGCTAACAGAGTGGAACCTTTCTTTTTACAGAGCAGCTTTGAAACTCTATTTTTGTGGATTCTGCAAATGGATATTTAGATTGCTTTAATGATATCGTTGGAAAAGGGAATATCGTCATACAAAATCTGGACAGAAGCTTTCTCAGAAACTTCTTTGTGATGTGTGTCCTCAACTAACAGAGTTGAACCTTTCTTTTGATGCAGCAGTTTGGAAACACTCTTTTTGTAGAAACTGTAAGTGGATATTTGGATAGGTCTAACGATATCGTTGGAAACGGGAATATCTTCATCTAAAGTATACACAGAAGCACTATTAGAAACTACTTGGTGATATCTGCATTCAAGTCACAGAGTTGAACATTCCCTTACTTTGAGCACGTTTGAAACACTCTTTTGGAAGAATCTGGAAGTGGACATTTGGAGCGCTTTGATGCCTTTGGTGAAAAGGAAACGTCTTCCAATAAAAGC